>NC_000012.12:38369218-38520734 GCF_000001405.40 Homo sapiens
TTTCCCCCTTATATAATCTCTCTTCCTTTCCCCAAAAACTCTTTCTTATTTTCAGTATTTCCCTTATTTTTACATACACTCATAGAACACACATATACATTCACAAACAGACAAACAACTCAAGCAGTACATCTTAGAAATGACCATGGATATCAAAGTTCCGTTTGGAACTTTGTTAACTAAGATGAGAATCAGAGCAAATGCGATTTTTTAAAATTTTTATGTTTTTATTTCCATAGGTTTTTGGGGAATGGGTGGTGTTTGGTTACATAAGTAAGTTCTTTAATGGTGATTTCTGAGATTTTGGTGCACCCATCACCTGAGCAGTACACACTATTCCCAATTGGTAGTCTTTTATCCCTTATCCCCTCCCACCCTTTCCCCCAAGTCCCCAAAGTCCCCAAAGTCCATTGTATCATTCTTTTGCCTTCAGAGCAAATCTTAAATCCTGGGAAAGATGGGGCTGCATTGAAAGGAACCAGGGAGAATGAGTATTTTCCACCATCTACCCTCCCATCACCAGCATCATTGCTATTACCATCACTATCTCCTCTGCCACAAAAAAATACCAGATTATCACGCTGAAAATTCTAGTCTTTGGGACTGATTATAAGGCCCCTGATAGGATATGAGACAGAGCATGTGGAGACCAAGGGAAACATTATTCTTATGTTATTTTCAGTAGAAATTCCATTGGATTTTCAGTCCAGAAATTAAAATTCCAGTAATGAACAACATTATTCAGTCATCTAGAGTCAGACAATTCATAAGTATTTTTAATCCTCAATTCTTTTGTCTGTAAAATGAGAGATTTTTTTTTTCTAAAAGATGCAGTACAGAATACTGGGGAAATGCCAGCCTTTAGAGTTCAACAGATTCAGTTCAAATCCGAACTCTGCTAGTGTTAACTACTCAAACTTGTCTTGAACTTGTTTCATCATCTATAAAATGAGCCTTACGTTGTTTAATTACATTGTGTAAGGATTAAAGGGGATAACACATAAAAAGCAATGGCTACTTGGATGTCTCAATAAATATTCATTATATCAAAATCCTGCTAAGTTCCATGACCTTAAATCAGATTTGAATGAACAATCAGGATATGTCGTGGAAGATAAAAAAAAAAAGAGAAAGAGCGTCCCACTTCTTTTGCTTTAGTAGAGGCGGTGATGGTGGCAGTGGTTAAGTTCCATAGTTAAGTAATTGAGAAAACATTCATTGAGTTCTGGACATTTTACTGGGCATTAGGATACAAAGATGCCCATTATATGATTAACAAGGAATTCATAGTCTACTCAGAAGATGAACAAATAACAAGCATTACCAAGCAGTGTGGTTAGATGAGTGATAAAGCTCAATATAGGATATTGCAGGCACATAAAGGGACTATGTACCCCAACCTGGAGTGAATTTCATGCACATAAATCACTGGTCTCTTCTTGCCATTATCCGATACAGCAAATTCCTCTCTTGGAAGCCACTAAACATTGAGTGCCTGTTGAACCACAATAACTTTACACCTGAAAAACTAAGGCACTCAGCAAAGTCCCAATTTGTGAAGGATATTCTTAGGATGTTTTGATACTTAGCTCTGTTTGGGGAGCCCTAATTTAGGGAATTTTATTATTTTAATTATCAAAAATTTGATTTTTATCTTATAGGAGGTCTGTTTAGAGACCACATTACAATAACAGTTTACAAGTTCCCTTTACAGATACATGGCTCCATTGCACCTGGTAAAAAATGGCTTCAATTACTATTACATTAAAATGCAAAGGGATCTTATGCTGACCAAAGGAAAAGGAGAGAATATTGAAAGACTTTGACCTCTACATGGTATTAAGGGAAGTTATTGTTATATAGAGGTGTAGCACTGAGAGTCACTTAAATGGTAGGAGAGCCGTGGCTTCTTTTCTGGAGGTCCTGACATTTTAAAATTTTTCTGTGTATTTTAAACCAGAATATTTCTGAGATTATAGGCTTCTTCCTTTTCTTCAATCTTCCTCATTTTTGAAAAAGAGGAACTGATAAGAAAAAGTATATATCTTTTCCCTCACATATGCTGCAGGACATAGGAATTGCATCATATTTTCAGGAAAAAAAAAGTATTTGAGTTGGTTAATTAGGCAAATCAATACCATAAGATACTTGGATTGTTAAACTGGAAACCTGAAAGTTATACAATGTGTCTTGGTAAACAAATTAATGAAGCATTTGGGTGGATGCATTCATGTAGAAAAATCTTGTCATAAAAGATTCTGGGGATATTTTTACTTAAAGTGACATAAAATTCCTAAGGAGATGAGACTCTCATAACAGAAAAATCTGTGAACATGTATAACAAGAATATATTAAAGTTTTCTTGTCATAATGCTTTTCAATCCGTTTTAAAAATTTCTCATCTTTGTGTGGAGCGGGTTGGGAGGAGAGAAAGAGAGAGAGCCTTGGAAAAGCAGAAATCCATCAGCTCTTGGTTATTGTGTGCCAAACACAGGAGTTCCGTAGTAGAGAGAAGTCAACTGGAGATGTCCACCACCACAGGCATTTAATTCCTGGTGGATTGATTTTTGTTGTGAAGTGATAA
Organism: Homo sapiens; assembly: GCF_000001405.40. Taxonomy (NCBI): domain Eukaryota; kingdom Metazoa; phylum Chordata; class Mammalia; order Primates; family Hominidae; genus Homo; species Homo sapiens. The sequence goes on from NC_000012.12 coordinate 38,371,803, forward strand.
AAGATGCAACCTTAAGCTTTCAGCATCTAGTATCTGTAGCTCTGCCAGACCGTTCATTGAGTGTTCATCTTAGCCCAGATTAAGCTAGGCCCATGGGACTGTAACGGGTAAGTGCAACATAGAACCTGGGAAGCCTCCTTCTTTTTATAAGTTAAACCTTAAAACATACAAACAGGTGATATAATGATTTTTCTTTCAAAATTATTACCTTGTACTTTCTCTACTTTACGTCAATAATGTTCACTGCAGAAATGAATAAAAAATAGCGCTCTGTTTTTAAAAGTCTGTGGCAAAGAATTTTAATAAGTCTTACCAAAAAATCAGAATCATAGAAGTTTAGGAAAACCCTATATTAAACAAAGGTAAACAAGTTTTATTACTGAAGAATTTTTTCAAACCATTAACATACATCACCACAGTATAAGATGGCAGGGGTTAGAATACAGTGCTTTTATATTTTGTTGACTATAGAATTAGTTGCAAAGTTAGGGGAAATTTCTTTGTGTGCTGTAGAGTCTAGTAACTCACCTTCTATTTCCCTTAGAACAAAAAGTGCTTTCTTCTCCTGGCAAGCAATTTAAGAGGATTTGGCTAAGGGAGGTTCAGATTGTAAGGTGCAAGGATGTTTAAAGACCCTTATAGCCTTGGTCACTCTTTCTTTTGGAAGCTGCATTCCAAATCATATCAAAATTTTAAAATGTAACCAAATGTCACATTAAATAAAATGTTTATCCTATAAGTCATTTTAAAGGATTTGCAAAGGTAGCTTTTCTGACAGTAATAAGATACAATTTAAAAACAGGTAATGCAATGCAAAACTTGAAAAAAGAAAACAGCCAATTATGAAGAGAATTGGCAATCATTGGAAGTAAAAAAAGAGAGAAAGAAAGAAAAAGAGTGTCAAGGAAACATAACACTGGCAAGGGTGTATGAAAATATCATTTAGGGAAAAGGTTTTTTTTTTTTTTTTTTTTACCATGACCACCGTTACACAATTTCAGGTGGCAAAATTAAAACAAACTGTCATGTGAATGGTGCCTACTAATTTTGTGCTCTATGGCAGCCCTGTCACTGCTTGAACCTGGAACAAACCTGCTCTAGTTGGGAGGCAGGTGTATCTGTGGAAATGCAGCACATCCACCTGTCAAAACAAGAGGCCATTAAGCCCTGCAATCAAAGTTCCAGCAACCTCTGCTCTGATTCCAGGATCACCAAGCAATCCTCTGATTATAATTTTACTTTCTATGCAGCTTCCTACAGAGAAAGAATATGATGGTCAGAGAAATGAGTAACTGTCCCACTTGACAATTATTTTTCTCACTGAAAATGGAATAAATACTCTAGCATTTTCCACTAGTCCATTTTATGCTGTTTAAGAGTGAATAAAGATCTTCAAGTTTGAACTGTTCTAAGAAACAGACAAAACCAAATTTTGAGTTTGAAAATCTGGCCTGGTATGCTTTTGAAAATATAGTACAATTTTGTGGAACTTCTTAAGGATAACCAGTGGGCCTCACTTGGCATTGCAGTGGCTCAAACGCCTTTACATTTAAACCTAAAATGGAGGTGAGATTCTGGGTAATAAATAACAGACTATTTTTAAATAGAACCTGAGAAATAAAGGCAGACGATAAAGAAATAAAATGAATCAATTACATAGGTTAAATGCTTATAATTACATTATTTTACTTAACTCTAAAAACTTTGTGAGGTAAGTTAATGTCATCTTAAATTTAGTGAGGAAAGACTGGACACTCTGTGAAATTTCTCTGATCTGCCTAAGGCCACACAGGAACTGGAGGGATCATAGTTCACTGGTTTTGCATTGCATGTCGTACTGCAACATCACATAAGTAAAATGATGGAATTGTTACCGGTGGAAGGTCTTGACTACCAGTTGTCCAGGTTCTTGGCATTTTGAAAAAAGAATTGGACAAAATGCACAAAGTAACAAAAGAACAGAACAACAAAAGAAACAATACAAGAAGCAATGAAACCACAGATTTATTGAAGTGAAAGTACACTCCAAAGTGTGGGAGAAGGCTGGAGCAAGCAGCTCAAGAGCACTGGCTGCAAAATCTTCTGGTGCTTAAGTACCCTTTAGAGGTTTTCTATTCGCTACACCCTATGTAAATGAAGATGGCCTGCAACCAATTGGAGGCTGAACTAAGGTTACACCCTATGCAAACGAAGACTTGACCCAGGACCAATTGGTGGCTGATGTGAAGGCTTCCTGTCTCCAGTCCCTATACTCATTCCTTAGAATGACACTGTCTGACATGTCTGAGTGGAGAATAGAGAGATAATATGAAAAAAAGGAAAACTGCAGAATATCACAAAGCTAGGGCTGGCTGAGAGGATATTGAAATAATCAGTGAGGAGTTTAGACTATACTAATAAATGGCAATGAATACTGAACACTGATCTAAAAATAATGTCTGTCTCTATCAAGAAGTCAAGAAGTATGCAGTGACTATTGTATGTATGTTGGTTACAAATTGAGTTGGATTGTTTGTATATTTAGCCACATCTGTTGGCATATCTATTCCATTATAAATCATCTTTTACTTGTAAATAATTGGAGACATACTTATATAAAACTATAGAATGCAATTTGTGGATAATGGACTTGGAGAGTATGCAATTATGCAGATCAGAATAATTGCTTAACTTACAAAAAAATAATTTTTAGTAGGTGGTTCAGGATATACAAGTAGAAAACAGGGAATTGCATACATTACCACAGTGAACAGCTAGTCAGGCATGTGTCAATTTTAAGTGTCAGAGGATCAAATATAAAGAACTCTACACCATCTGGGTGTGTACTGCCATACAATAATCAGAAACTTGGCAAGCATGTGTTCACACTGATCACACTGTGATTCCTATTGACTAGAAACACCACTCTGGTGTTTTAATTAGAGATGTGTCAAGTAATTCATTGTTAACCATGGTATAGATGAACTAGCATTGGTTACAATTTGGAAAACTCCCTGTACCTTTATTCCATGTATGGGAGTCTCTTGGCAAGATTTTTCTGTGAGCTGAAAATAATGCATATTATGTCTACTAATCATTAAGACATGTCCCATTGTGTTAATGCCATGACTACATGGAAAAACAGATGTGGCAATTAAAACCTGAAAGTGATACCCATTTATTTTTGGCTGGAAAAGTGCTACATATAGAAGTGTTTTGTTTTTTTTCTTCATTAGCCAAGATGGCATGAACAGAGTAACTATTATTTTCCTGCTATTTATGAATAGTTGATGAATCATGACCCACACTCAACCACCAGCATATTTCTATTTTTAAACCATTTTAAATTATGCTTATATTCATTTACTGAAATTTCTGTGAACTCCTGGGGAAAAAAAAAAACTAATATGTGTACTTCCATGTTTTTTTGTTTTGTTTTCTTTGGTTGGGAGGGGCATGGTTAAGCCACGTTGGCCAGAAAGCAAAGACTGATTAAATGACTAAAATAAAATAGCAGCTACGAACAAGCCTTGTACTCAAAGTGAAACTTACAAGCATAGAGATAGAAAGTGGAGAATGGTATTCCCAAGTCTATCATACATATATTGTAAAACCAACTGGTCATGTCCTTATTTGACAGTAATTGATCAAATTGACAATGGATATATGTAAATCCACTTTGAAGAAGACCAAAAATATCTTATTAACTAGATTTCAGCCTGTTCTAGTTTAAAAATTTTCTACAAGCTAAGTATTTTCAAGTATCTGGTTTTTGCAAATATTTTTTAAGACTTTTCAGGAAATTAAAGAATAAGATACAGCTTCCACTGTCATGAAGTTTACAATCCAGAAAAAGAGATAACACTATAATATAAACAACTATACTTCAAAACGAATTGTGTTAAGTATGAGAGGTAGCTTAAATTGCTGTGTGAGACTGTGGTAATAAAACTACAAAAAAACACAGTTCCTTTAAAAATCTCAGCTACCGTTTTTGAATAAATTGGTAAGCTGATCCTAAAATTCATGAAAAGTCAAGGGGCTTAGAAGAAAATTCAAGGGGCTTAGCCAAAACAGTATTTAAAAAGAAAAAGAAATGTGAAGGATTTATAATTTTTGATTTTAGAATTTACTATAATGCTATAGTAATCAAGCCAGTGTGGTATTGGTATGAGAAGAGACAAATGTATGAATGAAATAGAGTTGAAAATCCAGAAATATACCACCACATTTGTGGTCAATTGATTTTGAAAGGGGTGACATTGTCCTGGGATAACTGGAGAGCCACATTAAAAAAAAATAAAGAAGTTGGAATTATACTTTATTTTTTTAATTTTTTTATTTTTGCACAAGTTATTGGGATACAGGTGGTATTTGGTTGTATGAGTAAGTTCTTTAGTGGTGATTGTGAGATTTTGGTGCACCCATCACCTGAGCAGCAAACACTGTACCCTATTTGTAGTCTTTTATCCCTCGCCCCAATACCACTCTTACCCCCAAGTCTTCAAAGTCCATTTTATCATTCTTATGCCTTTGCATCCTCATAGCTTAGCTTTCACATATCAGTGAGAACATACAATGTTTGGTTTTCCATTCCTGAGTTACTTCCCTTAGAATAATAGCCTCTGGTCTCATCAAGGTCTGCAAATGCTGTTAATTCATTCCTTCTTATGACTGCATATTATTCCGCTATATATATGTAATATATATAACAGATTCTTTATCCACTCATTGATTGATGGGCATTTGGGTTGGTTCCATGATTTTGCAATTGTAAATTGTGCTGCTAAAAACGTGTGTGCAAGTATCTTTTTCGAATAATGACTTCTTTTCCTCTGGGTAGATACCCAGGAGTGGGATTGCTGTATCAAATGGTAGTTCTACTTTTAGTTCTTTAAGGAATCTCCCCACTGTTTTCCAAAGTGGCTGTACTAGTTTACATTCCTACCAGCAGTGTAAAAGTGTTGCCTGTTCACCACATCCATGCCAACGTCTACTGTTTTTTGAATTTTTGATTACGGCCATTCTTGCAGGAGTGAGGTGGTATTGCATTGTAGTTTTGATTTGCATTTCCCTGATCATTAGTGATGTTGAGCATTTTTTCATATGTTTATTGGCCATTTGTAAATCTTCTTTTGAGAATTGTCTATTTATGTCCTTAGCCCACTTTTTGATGGAATTGTTTGTTTTTATCCTCCTGATTTGTTTCAGTTCGCTGTAGATTCTGGATATTAGTCCTTTGTCAGATGTATAGATTGTGAAGATTTTCTCCCACTCTGTGGTTGTCTGTTTATTCTGCTGACTGTTCCTTTTGCTGTACAAAAGCTCTTTAATTAGGTCCCAGCTATTTATCTTTGTTTTTGTTGCATTGCTTCTGGATTCTTGGTCATGGAATCTTTGCCTCAGTCAATGTCTAGAAGGGTTTTTCCAATGTTATCTTCTAGAATTTTTATAATTTCAGGACTTAGGTTTAATTCTTTAATCCATCTTGAGTTGATTGTTGTATAAGGTGAGAAATGAGGATCCAATTTCATTCTCCTAAATGTCGATAGCCAATTATCCCAGCACCATTTGTTGAAAAGAGTGTCTTTTCCCCACTTTATGTTTGTGTTTGATTTGTTGGAGATCAACTGGCTGTAAGTGTTTGGGTTTATTTCTGGGTTTGCTATTCTGTTACATTGGTCTATGTGCCTATTTTTATACAAGTACCATGCTGTTTTGGTGACTATGGCCTTACAGTATATTTTGAAATCAGGTAGTGTAATGCCTCCAGATTTATTCTTTTTGCTTAGTCTTGCTTTGGCTCTGCAGGTCTTTTTTTTTTTTTTTTTTGGTTCCATGTGAATTTTAGAATTGTTTTTTCTGACTCTGTGAAGAATGATGGTGGTATTCTTATGGGGATTGTGTTGGATTTGTAGATTGCTTTTGGCAGTAAGGTTATTCTCACAATATTGAGTCTACCCATCCATGAGCATGGGATGTGTTTTCATTTGCTTATGTCATCTATGATTTCTTTTAGCAGTGCTTTGTAGTTTTCCTTGTGGAGGCCTTTCACCTCCTTTGTTAGGTATATTTCTAAGTATTTTTATTATTATTATTATTATTATTATTATTATTTTTATTGGCAGCTATTGTAAAACTGATTGAGTTCTTGATTTGATTATCTGCTTGGTTGCTGCTGGTGTATAGAAGAGCTAGTGATTTGTGTACATTAATCTTGTATTCGGAAACTTTGCTGAATTATTTTATCAGTTCTAGGAGCTTATTGAAGGAGTCCTTAGGGTTTTCAAGGTAAACAATCATACGGTAAGCAAACAGTGACAGTTTGCCTTCCTGCTTACCGATTTTGATGCCTTTTATTTCTTTCTCTTGTCTGCTCTGGCTAGGACTTCTGTTACTATGTTGAAGAGTGGTGAGAGTGGGCATCTTGTCTTGTTCTAGTTCTCAGAGAGAATGCTTTCAGCTTTTCCCCATTTAGTATTATGTTGGCTGTGGGTTTGTCATAGATGGCTTTAATTACATTGGGGTATGTCCCTCATATGCCAGTTTTGCTGAGAGTTTTAATCATAAAGGAATACTGCATTTTGTTGAATGCTTTTTCTGCATCTATTGAGATGATCATGTGATTTTTGTTTTTAATTCTGTTTGTGTGATGTATCACATTTATTGACTTGTGTATGTTAAACCATCCCTGCATCTCTGGTTGATCATGGTGGCTTATCTTTTTGATATGTTGCTGGATTCAGTTAGCTAGTATTTTGTTAAGGATTTTAGCATCTATGTTCATCAAGGATATTGGTCTGTGGTTTTCCTTTTTGGTTGTGTCCTTTCCTGATTTTGATATTAGGGTGATGCAGGCTTTATCGAATGAATTAGAGAGAGTTCCCTCTTTCTCTCTCTTGTGGAATAGTGTCAAAAGGATTGATACCAATTCTTCTTTGAATGTCTGATAGAATTCTGCTGTGAATCCATCTAGCCCTGGGCTTTTTCTTGTTGTAATTTTTTAATTACCATTTCAATCTCTCTGCTTGTTATTCGTCTGTTCTGGGTATCTAATTCTTCTTGATTTAAGGTAGGAGAATTGTATTTTTCCAGGAATTTATCCATCTCTTCTAGGTTTTCTAGTTTATTTGCATAAAGGTGTTCATAGTAGCCTTGAATAATCTTTTGTATTTCAGTGGTATCAGTTGTAATATCTCCTATTTTGTTTCTTAATGAGGTTATTTGGCTTTTCTCTCTTCTTTTCTAGGTTATTCTTGCTAATGTTCTATCAACTTTACTTTTCTTTTCAAAGAACCAGCTTTTTGTTTCATTTATCTTTTGTATTTTTTAATTTGTTTTAATTTCATTTAGTTCTGCTCTGATCTTGGTTATTTCCCTTCTTCTGCTGGGCTTGGTTTGGTTTGTTCTTGTTTCTCTAGTTCCTTGAGGTGTGACCTTAGATTGTCTGTGCTCTTTCAAACTTTTTGATGTAGGCATTTAGCACTATGAACTTTCCTCTTAGAACTGCCTTAGCTGTACCCCAGTGGTTTTGATAGGTTGTGTCATTATTGTCATTCAGCTCAAAGAATTTTTTAATTTCCATGTTGATTTCATTTTTGACCTAATACTCATTCAGGAGCAGGTTATTCAATTTCCACGTATTTGCATGGTTTTGAAGGTTCCTTTTGGAGTTGACTTCCAGTTTTATCACAAGGTAGTCTGAAAGAATGCTTTATATAATTTCAATTTTCTTAAATTTGTTGAGGCTCACTTTATGGCCTATCACATGGTCTATCTTGGGGGAAATTCCATGCGCTGTTGAATTGAATGCATATTCTGCAGTTGTTGGATGAATTGTTCTGTGTATGTCCCTTAAGTCCATTTCTTCCAAGGTATAGTTAAAGCCACTGTTTCTATGTTGACTTTCTTTCTTGATGACCTGTCTAGTGCTGTCAGTGGAGTATTGAAGTCCCCAACTATTATTGTGTTGCTGCCTATCTCATTTCTTATGTCTATTAGTAATTGTTTTATAAATTTGGGAGCTCCAGTGTTGGGTACATATATATTTAGGATTGTGATATTTTCCTGTTGGAAAAGGCCTTTTACCATTACATAATGTCCCTTTTTGTCTCTTTTAACTGCTATAGCTCTAAAGTTTGTTTTGTCTAAGAATAGCTACCTCTGCTCACTTTTGGTGTCCATTTGCATGAAATGCCTCCTTCTACCCTTTTGCTTTAAGTTTATGTGAGTCATTATGTTAGATGAGTCTCTTAAAGGCAGCAAATGGTTGGTGAGTTCTTATCCATTCTGCGGTTCTCTATCTTTTAGATGCAGCATTTAGGCCATTTACATTAAATGTTAGCATTGAAATGTGATATACCATTCCATTCATCATGCTTTTTGTTGCCTGTGTACTTTGGGGTTTTTTTGTTTGTTTTCTGTTTTTGCTTTTTAACTTGTATTTTTGTTTTATAGGTTCTGTGTGATTTATGCTTTAAAGAGGTACTGTTTTAATGTGTTTCCAGAATTTGTTTCAAGATTTAGAGCTCCTTTTAGCAGTTCTTGTAGTGGTGTCTTAGTAATGGCAAATTCTCTCAGCAACTGTTTGTCTGAAAACGACTGTATCTTTCCTTCATATATGATGCTTAGTTTCACTGGATACAAAATTCTTTGCTGATAATTGTTTTGTTTGAGGCGGCTAAAGATAGGGTGCCAGTCCCTTCTAACTTGCAGGGTTTCTGCTGAGAAATCTGCCATTAATCTGATAGGTTTTCCTTTATAGGTTACTTAGTGCTTCTGTCTGAAAGCTCTTAAGATTCTTTCCATTGTCTTAATTTTAGATAACTTGATGACAATGTGCCTAGGTGAAGATCTTTTTGTGATTAATTTCCCAGGTGTTCTTTGTGCTTCTTGTATTTGTGTGTCTAGGTTTCTAGCAAGACTGAGGAAGTTTTTCTTGATTATTCCCCCTAATATGTTTTCCAAGCTTTTAGAATTGTCTTCTTCCTCAGGAACACCGATGATTCTTAGATTTTATCATTTAACATAATCCCAGACTTCTTGGATTCTTTGTTCATATTTTCTTATCTTTTTTTCTTTGTCTTTACTGGAGTTGGTTAATTCAAAGACCTCGTGTGTGAGCTCTGAATTTCTTTCTTCTACTTCTTCAACTCTATTGCTGAGACTTTCCAGAGCATTTCACATCTCTAAAAGTATGTCCAAAGTTTCCTGAATGTTTTATTGTTTTTTCTTTAAGCTATCTATTTACTGGAATATTTCTCCCTTCACTTCTTGTATTGTTTTCTGATTTCCTTGCACTGGGCTTCACCTTTCTCTGGTGCCTCCCTGATTAGCTTAATAACTAACCTCCCGAATTATTTTTCAGGTAAATTAAGGATTTCTTCTTGGTTTGGATCCATTGCTGGTGAACCAGTGTGATTTTTTGGGGGTGTTGAAGAGTCTTGTTTCGTGATATCACCAGAGTCAGTTTTCTGGTGTCTTCTCATTTGTGTAGGCTCTGTCAGGGGGAAGGTCTAGGGCTGAAGTCTGTTGTTCAGAATATTTTGTCCCATGGGGTGTTCCCTTGATGTAGAACTCTCCCCCTTTTCCTGTGGATGTGGCTTCCGGTAAGCCAACCCGCAGTGATTGTTGTCTCTCTTCTGGTTCTAGCCACCCAGCATGTCTACCTGTCTCCGAGCTGGTACTGGGGTTTGTCTGCACAGAGTCCTCTATTGTGAACTGTCTATAGGTCTCTCAGCCATGGATACCAGTGCTGGTTCTGGTGGAGGTGGCAGAGGATGCCATGGCATGAGAGTCCTTAGCTTTGGTGGTTTACTGCTCTGTTTTTTTAAAAAAACGTATTACTTTAAGTTCTGGTATACATGTGCTAAACATGGAGGTTTATAATATAGGTATACATATACCAAAGTGGTTTGCTGCACCTATCAACCCATCATCTAGGTTTTAAGTCCTGCATGCATTAAGTATTTGTTCTAATGCTCTCCCTCCCCTTTCACCCAACCACCCGACAGGCCCCAGTGTGTGATGTTCCCCTCCCTGTGTCCATGTGTTCTCATTGTTCAACTCCCACTTATGAGTGAGAACATGCAGTGTTTGGTTTTCTGTTCCAGTCTTAGTTTGCTGAGAATGATGGTTTCCAGCTTCATGTATGCCCCTGTAAAGGACATTAACTAATCCTTTTTTATGGCTGCGTAGTATTCCATGGTGTATATGTGCCACATTTTCCTTATCTAGTCTACATTGATGGGCATTTGGGTTAGTTCCAAGTCTTTGCTGTTGTGAATAGTGCTGCAATAAACATATGTGTGCATGTGTCTTTATAGTAGAATGACTTATAATCCTTTGGGTATATACCTAGTAATCAGATTCTTGGGTCTAATGGTATTTCTGGTTCTAGATACTTGAGGAATTGCCACACTGTCTTCCACAATGGTTGAACTAATTTACACTCTCACCAACAATGTAAAAGCATTCCTATTTCTCCCCATCCTCGAGGCATCTGTTGTTTCCTGACTTTTTAATAATCACCATTCTAACGGGTGTGAGATGGTATCTCATTGTGGTTTTGACTTGCATTTCTCTAATGACCAGTGATGATGAGCTTTTTTTCATATGTTTGTTGACCACATTAATGTTCTCTTTTGAGAAATGTCTGTTCAAATCCTTTGCCCACTTTTTGATAGAGTTGTTTTTTTTTCATGTAAATTTGTTTAAGTTCCTTGTAGACTCTGGATATTAGGCCTTTGTCAGATGGATAGATTGCAAAAATTTTCTCCCATTCTGTAGGTTGCCTGTTCACTCTGAGGATAGTTTATTTTGCTGAGAAGAAGCTCTATAGTTTAATTAAATCCCACTTGTCAATTTTGGCTTTTGTTGCAATTGCTTTTGGTTTTTTAGTTATGAAGCCTTTGTCTATGCCTATGTCCTGAATGGTATTGCCTGAGTTTTCTTCTAAGGTTTTTATGGTTCTAGGCTTTACATTTAAGTCTTTAATCCATCTTGAGTTAATTTTTGTATAAGGTTTAAGGAAGGGATCCTGTTTCTGTTTTCTGTATATGGCTAGCCAGTTTTCCCAACACCATTTATTAAATAGGCAATCCTTTCCTCATTGCTTGTTTTTGTCAGATTTTTTGAAGATCAGATTATTGTAGATGTGTGGTGTTATTTCTGAGGCCTCTGTTCAGTTCCATTGGTCTATATGTCTGTTTTGTTACGAGTACCATGCTTTTTTGGTTACTGTAGCCTTGTAGTATAGTTTAAAGTCAGGTAGTGTGATGCCTCAAGATTGCTCTTTTTGCTTAGGAGTGTCTTGGCTGTACAGGCTCTTTTTTGGTTCCACATGAAATTTAAAGTAGTTTTTTCTAGTTCTGTGAAGAAAGTCAGTGGTAGCTTGATGGGAATAGCATTAAAACTATAAATTACTTTGGGCAGTATCGCCATTTTCACAATATTGATTCTTCCTATCTATGAGCATGGAATGTTTTTCTATTCGTTTGTGTTCTCTCTTATTTCCTCGAGCAGTGGTGTTTATAGTTCTCCTTGAAGTGGTGCTTCATGTCACCTATAAGTTGTGTTCCTAGGTATTTTATTTTCTTTGTAGCAATTGTGAATGGGATTTCACTCATGACTTGGCTCTCTGCTTGTCTATTACTGGTTTATAGAAATGTTTGTGATTTTTGCACATTGATTTCGTATCCTGAGACTTTGCAGAAGTTGATTATCAGCTTAAAGAGTTTTGGGGCTGAGATGATGGGATTTTCTAAATTATGATCATGTCATCTGCAAATAGAGATAATCTGAGTTTTCCTCTTCCTATTTGAACACACCTTGTACCTTCTCTTGCCTAGTTGCTCTGGCCAGAACATACAATATTATGTTGAATAGGAGTGGTGAGAGAAGGCAGAAATAATGAAGTTTTTTGAAACCAGTGAAAACAAAGAGATAACATACCAGAATCTCTGGGATACAGCTAAAGCAGTGTTTAGAGGGAAATTTATAGCACTAAATGCCCACATCAGAAAGTGGCAAAGATCTAAAATCAACAACTTATCATCACAATTAAAAGAACTAGAGAAGCAAGAACAATTTCAAAAGCTAGCAGAAGACAAGAAGTAACTAAGATCAGAGTAGAACTGAAAGAGACACAAAAACCCCTTCAAAAAGTCAATGAATCCAGGAGCTGGTTTTTTTAAAAAGATTAACAAAATAGATAGACCACTAGCCTGACTAATAAAGAAGAAAAGAGGAAGAGTCAAATAGACACCATAAAAAATGATAAAGGGGATATTACCTCTGATCCCACAGAAATACAAACTAGCATTAGAGAATGCTAAAAACACCTCTATGCAAATAAATAGGAAATCTACAAGAAATGAATAAATTCCTGGACACATACACCCCCCACAAGACTAAACCACGAAGAAATCGAATCCCTGAATAGACAAATAAAAAGTTTTGAAACTGAGGCAGTAAATAATAGCCTACCAACCAAAAAAACCCCAGGACCAGACAGATTCACAGCTGAATTCTACCAGAGGTACAAAGAGGAGCTGGTACTATTCCTTCTCAAACTATTCCAAACAATAGAAAAAGAGGGACTCCTCACTAACTCATTTTATGAGTCTAGCATCATCCTGATTCCAAAACCTGGCAGAGACACAACAAAAAAAGAAAATTTTAGGCCAAGATCCCTGATGACCATCAAAGCAAAAATCCTCAATAAAATACTGGCAAACCTAATCCAGCAGCACATCAAAAAGCTTATCCAACATTATCAAGTCAGCTTCATCCCTGGGATGTAAGACTCGTTCAACATACGCAAATCAATAAACATAATCCATCACATAAACAGAACCAATGACAAAACCACATGACTATCTCAATAGATGCAGAAAAGGCCTTTGATAAAATGCAACACTCCTTCATGCTAAAAATCTCTCAATAAACTAGGTATTGATGGAACGTATCTCACAATAATAAGAGCTATTTATGAGAAACCCACAGCCAATATCATACTGAATGAGCAAAAGCTGGAAGCATTCCCTATTTGAATGCCTTATTTTTATGCTGGTTGACCTCCTGCCAGGAGGTGGCGCTTTCCAGAAAGTATCAGCTGTAGTGGTGTGGGGAGGGATTGTCAGTGGGTGGGGCTCTAGAACTCCCAAGATTAAATGCCCTTTGTTTTCTGCTACCAGGGTGGATAGGGAAGGACCATCAGGTGGGGGTGGGGCTGCGGTTTCTGAGCTCACACTCTCCTTGGGTGGAGAGTCTGTGGTTGCTGTGGGGAATGGGGGTGAGATTCCCAGGTCACTGGAGTTGTGTACCTAGCAGGATTATGTCTGCCTCTGCTGAGTCATGCAGGTTATCCGGGAAGTAGGGGAAAGCCTGCAGTCACAGGCCTCACCCAGCTCCCATGCAAACTGAGGGGCTGGTCTCACTCCCACCGTGCCTCCCGAACAGTTCCAATTCCGTTTCCAGGTGGAGGGTGAGAAGGGCTTGAAAACTTGCCGGAGGCTTTGCACTTCCCAGCTGCGAAAGAAAAGGGCTTTAGTTCTTCCCCCTGCCTGTGAAGTCTGCACACCAGATTTACGCCCTCCCCCAGCTTCTGGCCGGGAGGCTTCTTGCCCCATTCAAATTGTTACCAAGTTCGGCTAGAGAATTCCTTCTCCCTGTGGAGTTTTATCCCCTGCTCCTCTGGCCACCCTCCTGAGGGATCCCTGTGATGCCAGGCAGTATTGGGCTGCTTGGGGACCCAGTGAGATCCTAGGGCCTCTCCACTGCCTCCTCCACCCCACCCTGTATTTTGCTTGGCTTTGATCTCTAACTTGACTGAGCTCCAGGTAAAGTCGGGAATTTCTCCTACAAGCAGACCTTCAAGTTCTGCAGTGGGGGTGTGTGTTTGTGCAGGAGTGTCTCCCTTTCCCACTTTTGCAATTGGGGCACTCACAGTATTTGAGATGTCTCCCAGGTCCTGGAGGAGCAGTCTGCTTCCTTCAGAGGGTTTATGGGTCCTCTTAAGATTGCTGTTTTGTTCTTGCAGGTGATCTGGATTATGCAAGAACAAAATGCATGCTGCTCTGTCTGGAGCTGCAGTCTAGCCCTGCCTCTCGTCCACCATGATCCCTCAAGCCTCCCAGCATGGAATTATACTTTATATCATACACAAAATTAATTCAAAATGAATCAAAGACCAAAATTTAGGAGCTATAATTATTAAGCTATTAGACAAAAAATAGGTATAAATCTCCATGAACTTGGGTTAGTCAATGTTTCCTTAGATATGACACCAAACGTGAAAGCAACACAATAAAAAAATTAGATAAATTGGGCACCATGAAAATTAACATTTTTGTGCACAAAAGATAACATCAAGAAAATCAAATGACTATCCACAAGATGAAAGAAATTTTTGGCAAATCCTATCTCTGACAAGGAATGCTTACAACTTAAGAAGAAAAAGACATAAAAGCCAAATTGTAAAAGGGCAAAGGGTCTTTATAGAAATTTCTCCAAAGAATGTATGCCAGTGTCCAATGAACACAGGAAAAGATGGTCAACACCATTAGTCATCAGAAAAATGTAAATAAAAACTACAAGATATTACTTCACACTACTATGTCTTCAGTCAAGAGACAGATAATAGGAGTTGGCAAGCATGTAGTGACGTTGGAACCATTATACACTACTAGTAAGAATGTAAAATGGTACTACTTTAAAAAACAATCTGACAGTTTCTCAAAAGGTTAAACATAGAATTACCATATGACTCAGTATTTCCATCTCTCGGTATCTATCCAAGAGAAATGAAAACCTATGTCCACACAAAAACTTGTACATGAATATTCATAGCAGCATTATGCAAAAAAAGTGAAAAAACTAAATGTCTATCAATTGATTAAAGAAATAGATAAATAAAATGTGGTAAGTCTATACCATGGGATGTTATTGGGCAATAAAAAGAATAACAAAGGGACTTCCAGTTTCTGTTTCCATTTGAAAGGAACTGAAAGTTGTCACTCTGTTTTAACAAGTAAAAAGTTGGAAAAAAAAAAAACTGAAAAATCAACTCTGCTTAGATCCATAAGAGAAGTGAGGTGGCAGGGCAAACCACTGCGCCCAAAATTCAGGCAGGATTACTAATGGGTCAGCACCTTCAGGAATGAACGTGTGGATCACCCTGTCATGCATAGAATCACACCAACTGAGGTCCTTGCAGAGAGCAAAGGGAATATGGAATAGGTAGCAGAAAAGGGTAGTTAGAAATACCAACTGTGACTATATGACCATGTACAGAAATAAGTACTCTCGTATTTATCAGCATTTCTTTCTTATTTTGTTATGAATATGTTTGTGTATATTAACTATTTTTCTTTTCTTACTTATCATCTAATGTAATACATAGTAATAATGATTTACTTTATATCACAGCATTTAAGTTAAAGGATATCAAAGGAGAAGAAGGAATATCATGTACTTTGCATCCCCTTTGGGAAGGGATTAACATGTTTTAGGTTGTATTCGAGATAGTTGTGTTATGTGAAAGTATGACTTTATTATTGTCTTATTTGGATATTAAGATTTAAGGAAATGTGTAGGGTGCCAAGTTGACAATGGGGGGACAGTGATACTCACCTTTATGTGCCAACTTGATTGGACTGTTGACTTTATCTGTCAACGGTCCTCAGTTATTTTATCAAACATTAATGTAGGTGCTTCTGTGAAGATATTTTGGAGATGTGATTAAAGTCTTATCTATAAGGAGGGCAATTTTTTCTAGATAATCTGGTTGGACCTGATTTAATTGGTTGAAAGATCTTAAAAACAAAGGTAAGGGTTTCTAGAAGTAAAAATTCCACCTGTGGACAGCAGCTTCAGCCTACCCTTGAGAGTTCTAGCCTGCCCTGTGGATTTTAGACTTTGAGCTAGCCAGCTTACACAATCATGTTAACTAATTCCTTGCAATGAATAATATATATTCCCCACTGTTTTTATTTGCCTGGTTGGACACTGACTACTACACACATTGGTAACAAAAGCAGTTGAAAAGGACAGATTTTGGTATGCTAAATAATGACTCCACCTTCCCCCAAGATGTCCATATCCTTATCTTTGTATTGATAGTGAGGAAACTTATATGTATGTGTGTACTCACATACACATACATGTACATATGTATATGTCACATCTCCAAAATATCTTCATAGTAGCACCTACATTAATGATTGATCAAATAATTGAGGACTGTAACCCAGTCAAGTTGACACATAAAGAAAGACTATCACTGTACATGTATCACATGTACATACATATATGTGTGTGTATATATGTATATATGTATGTATATGTGTGTGTATATATACATATGCAATTTACATATGTGTATATATAGATGTGTATGTGTGTGTATATATATATGCAAGTAAATTCATATATATATATATTATTATTTTGAGCATCCCCATGCAAGTAAATTGGAAAGCCTAAATGAAACACAAACTTTCTTAGGAAAATACAGGTTACCAAAATTGAAAGCATATAAAAGATCAACTCTCACAGATGAAGCAAAAAATTTCAACAAGGATCCAACTAACAGAAAAGCACAGGCCCATTTGGAGTCAAGATAAATTAAAACTTTTTGAGGTCAGACATTTCAAATGCTCAATAAATTTTTTCAGAGTATTAAGAAAAAGAAAACTACAATTATTTTTATGAAGCTAGAACAATGTTGATTCCCAAACCTGACAAAGATAGCACAAAAACAAAAGAAAATTACAGAACAGTATTGCTTATGATATTGAGGAAGTAATCCTAAGTCAATTTTGTCTATTTGACTTTAATATCATACTAAGGAAACAATATAGTATGACTAAGTAGAATTTATACCATGAATCTAAGCATAGTTTAATACTATGTATTATCACAATATAAGACTAATGAGAAAAAAATTGTATCATTATTTCTATAGACAGTGAAAAACCACTTGACAAAATTGAATATTTCTACATTTCTAATACAAACTCTCAAGAAAATAGAATAAATTGCTGCTTCTGCAACTTTTGTGTATCTCCAAAAATCTACCGTCTTATTTAAAGTGAAACATAGACCTAATATAGAAAACTATAATATACTTATGGTTTTACTTTGTTTCATTTGTTTTCTCTTATCTAACTGCATTGGCTAATTTATCTTATTATATTGACATATATGTTAATGATGGAATAGTATATCTGCAAACTCTTAAAGAATCAATAATAAAACAATAGCATCACATATACAAATAATAACCAGTTTAAAGTTATAATGTAAGGGAAAACTTCTTCTACAGAAAAAAATAGATTAAAATGTTCAAAACTTATATAAAAAACTATAAAATATTTCCAAAAAGCACAAAAATTAAATTGACCCAGTACTTTGGGAGGCCAAGGCAGGAAGATAACTTTAGGCCAGGAATTTGAGACCAGCCTGGCCAACATGGCAAAACCCCATCTCTACTGAAAGTGCAAAAATTAGCTGGGTGTGGTGGTGCATGCCCATAGTCCCAGCTACTTGGGAGGCTGAGGCACAAGAATCACTTGAACCCAGGAGGTGGAGGTTGCTGTGAGGCAAGATCGTGCCACTGCATTCCAGCCTGGGCAATAGAGTGAGATCCTATCTCAAAAAAAAAAAATTGAACTGAACAAGTAGACACTGTTTGTGTATATACAGGACGTCTCAAAATTATAAATAAGTTAATGTTCCCTAAATTAACCTATGCATGTAATGTGTTCCCAACTAAATACTAATTAGCATTTATTCTGAAGCCAGATGAATTAATATTAAATTTGATATAGGAAAAATAAATGTGCAAAAATAGCTAGGAAAATATTGAAAAGAAAGGCTAAGGGAGAGGAATTCCCTCAATCTTATGTTAAACATATAAAGCCTTTATAATTAAAACAGTGTGGCACTGGCACATGAGTGGACAAACCAATGAAATAGAATAGAAAGTTCAGAAATAGATATGTGATATGTTATGACTCAGAAGACAAACATATGATTAAGTGGATATCTCTCATTTCTGTGAATGAGACAGATTTTTAATAAATAAAGTTAGGGCACTAGATAACCATATAAAAGTTAAATTGATCCATTATTCACTGCAGACATACAAATAAATTACCAAATAAACCAAATATTGAAATCCTTAGAAAATCTAATCAAGCACTATAAAAATATAGGTGAATTCCTCCATTAACAAATATAAGATAGACTTTCTTGTTTTCACTCAATATCCAGGAGTAATCAAATTTTAAAAAAGAATCAGTAGTAAATCTAAAAAGAAAATTTAAGCCTAAATGTTAGGCTGTCTTGTAAGTAGGAATGACTTTCTTAAAACTTTTCAGAATTATAAAATAAATGTACAACCTACATAATAAAAGAAGTCTTGACAAAGTTATGAAAAAGTAACAAATTGACAGAAGACATTTGCAACACATCTAACAAATAATAGCCATCATATATTTTAAAAGCTCATTCAAGTCAATGAGAAAAAAACGATAGAAAAATGGACAAGAGTTATGAACAGGTCATTAGTAAAAGAAGAAATAAGAAATGTATAAAAAACACTCAATTTTACTTATAATTATGGAAATACAACCAAAATAAAATGGGGTATTTTAGCCTCCCTGAAAGATTAATAATATTCAAATTGATGAAGTGTGGAGAAATATGTACACGCATGTTCAACTGATGAGACTATGGAAAGGAAAGGCCTTTTAAAATAATTTCAGCAAAATTTAAAAACACATAGATGTCTTTCCATCTGGATTTCCATTCTTTGGTATCTAAAAGAAATCTATATTCTGTACAAAAAGATGTCTGTACTTAAAAAATATTTACTCCAGTATTTTTTAAAGTGCAAAAATCTTTAGGTAATCAAAAGATTGAATAACGGGAAAATGGTTAAATTATAGACATATACACTACAAAATATACAATACAGCTATTTAATATATAAGGCATTAAATCTATATCAGTGATATAAAAATGCACTCTCTACACACATGCAAATATATCTAAATAATTTTAAGAACACACAACAAAAGATTAACAGTAGCTACTTTAGGGAAGGGGAGTAACTTGGGGTTATGAGTTAGAGGCTGAAGGAGGATATTTCCATTCATGTCTATTTACATCTGTACCTTAATGTTTTAGGATAATGATATATCATAAACTTTAAAAATCCTGTGTTATAATAGAGATTTCTTCAAACCATATAGAGTTCTGTTATAATAGAGATTTCTTCAAACCATATAGAGTTCTGACAGTGGTTAAGTTAGCCAGTTCATTCTCCTGTCAGGACAGAATCATAGCCAGTGACTAATATTCTACTGTTTGATTCAATCAGTTTTGAAATGTCACTACTTGTATCCCTCGTCACATTGCCCAAACAATAAGACTGACCTTTCTGTGACTGGTTAGCTCAGCTAAGAACACTGAATTTGATATTCAAATATGCAGGTTTGTTTTTGCTGTGTTCCCAGAAAAGAGACTGTCCTGCTTAAACTCTACTATCCTTCAAATATGTGTCAACATAGGCCATATTACTGTCATGTGCCATTAATTTCAGGAAAAACTACTTCTAAGGCCATGGCTGATTAACAGACTCTACCACTTAATGGTTTTAGTTGATGTGAGAAAGCAGGTGATGGATTCTGGGTGTACAAAGTTAAGTAAAAAGGGTATGGCTCCCTGGTTATAGTTTCATAGTGAGAGAGAAAAATAATCTCATGAAGAATTACAGTAAAGTATGATTCTTATGATGACATGAAAAGAGTATAATCTGGGAGTAAAAATAGTCTAAGAGGTCGGGGAAGGCTTGCTATGGAAAGTCACATTTAGGGAGAGACATGAAGAATGAATGAGAGTTAGGTGAAAAGTTGGGGAATGTTCTATGCATCTCACAGTACGAGCATTTCCTATCAAAAGTCAATAGAGACACAAATCTTTTCAGTGTTGCCCAAATATACAATCAAATGGCAAAATTACTATAGTATGAGTAATTTAGTGGAAATATATGTTGTAAACTTTTAAAAAAGTCTTCACATAGTAATACATAATTCTTACAATATGAGGGATTACCAGGAATTATACTAATATAATAATTTGATAAAGTATTCCAGAAAGAAGATAACTTTGAATACTGTCTTCTCACTGAGGATTTGTGCTTGCCCAAGGAGAGGGGATTGTCAAAGACAGAATGTTAGGGCTTTATTGTTATTCCTTTTTTTCAGAGTTGTTTGATTTTATTAATTTTCATTTCTAGAAGGCTAACATGTCTGTTCAGTTACCAAATATGTCATAACAAGGTCTTGGCACTGTGCTTTTCTGCACATGATTCCTATGCTCTGAAATGCCATTTTTCTTTTTCTAATTGGAAAGTACTATTAATTGTTTATATGTCCACATCTGCTGTTAGACCATGAGTTCTGAGACATCAGACCACGTCTTATTTACATTTCAATCCTCAGAGCCAATATGTTGCCTGGCAAGTAATCAATCTACAAAGGAGAAAAGTAATTGCAGTTGACCCTAGAACAATTAGGGTTAGGTGTGTTGAGCCCTGCACAGTAGAAAATCTGCATATAAATTTCGATTCCTCAAAAACTTTATAATAGCCTACTGTTGACTGGAAGCCTCACTGATAATATAAGCAGTTGATTAACATATATTTTGCATGTTATATGTATTATATGCTGTATTTTTACAAAATTTACTAAGAAGGTTGTAAGAAAGAGAGAATATATTTACTATTTATTAAGTGCAAGTGGATTATCATAAACGTCTTGATCCTTTTTGTCTTCCTATTGAGTAAGCTGAGGATGGGGAAGAAAGGGGAGGGGTTGATCTGTTAACTGTATATTCAAGCTTATATTACTTAAGAACTAGCTTAATGACTCATATTTAGAAACTGTTAAGCCATGTTCAGTATCTTGCTACTGCCATTGAGATTTTGCAATCGCCCAAGGCATTCTAGCTGAGGTATCTGCCTTGCAGCCTCAACAAAATGAGTCACCTTAGCATTCTTACTTTAAAAATATCAGTACCTGCTTTACGAAACATGGCTAATTCAGTACTCCAAGCTTCTGTCATGCCTTAGAAACTCTCAAAACCCTAATTTAGAAAGTTGTAATGAATATCTTCTTTGAATTTCTCTATTTACCAGATTCACCAGTTCATCTTTGAAAACAGGAAATGTCCTTGCCAGAAGTCTGCACAGATCTTTGAAACATTCATGTTTTATGGCGATTCTTGTCTTTCTAGGTACCTTGCTGTCCAAAACAAACTAAAATAATTGTTGTGTATCCCACTTTACGTTGTAGTCTTGCAGGAAGGGAATAATGGCTACAAGTAATTCCAAGATCAAAGGCAGTTGGGGGCTTGACATTTAAGCACATCTTCAATAGCAGTGCTGGCCTCCCAACCAATATCTTTAGTCTACACAAGTGTGCTGCCACTGTAGTAGTATTCTTGGTCTTTGAGGTCTAAATTGCAAACTATGTACTTGAATGGTAAGAAATTGAATAGCTCTCTAGTCTATCAATTTTCTAACTGTTAATATTCAACAAATACTTTTTAAATTAATAATGTATTATTATAGAAATACACTGGATTACAATACAAATGTCCAACTGTGGAAGATTAATTAAAGTGCAGTATACCACATAAGAGAACACTGTTCACCCATTTAAAAATGAAGTTATGAATCTCTGATTTTTGACTGGGAGTATGCATCATATAGCTGACAGAAATATTAAATGCTGAGGCAGATAATTCTTATATTACGTTGTTTTAAATATAGACTATATTTGTGCATTAAAAATAGAATGATCATAAAAGAAGAAAAAAATCTCAGAAGATAAATTTTGGGATAGAGTGGTATGGTTTGGCTGTGTCCCCACCCAAATCTCATCTTGAATTCCCATGTGTTGTGGGAGAGACCCAGTGGGAGGTAACTGAATCATGGGGGCAGGTGTTTCCTGTGCTGTTCTTGTGATAGTGAATAAGTCTCATGAGATCTGATGGTTTTAAAAAGAGGAGTTCCCCTGAACCAGGTCACTCTTGCCTGCTGCCATCCATATAAGATGTGACTTGCTCCTCCTTGCCTTCTGCCATGATTATGAGGCCTCCCCAGCTACATGGAACTGTAAGTTCATTAAACCTCTCTTTCTTCCCAGTCTCAGGTGTGGCTTTATCAGCAGCATGAAAATGGACTAATACAGATAGATACATGAATTTTATCAACATAAAAAGTACTGGTTTCCATATGATCTAATATTTATGTTATTTTATTATATACTAGGAATTTTAAAAACTATTTACATATCTTAATTTTGTCCTCACAACAAACCTGAGATTGTTACTATTATGTTTTCTCTTACACAGAAGAGGCAATTGATGCATGTCAAGATTAACTTGCCTAGAGTTGGGATTTGAAACCAGCAAATCTTATTCTAGAGTTTGTACTCTATACTCTTACAACAGAAGTGACAAGAAGTTCATGAAATCACTCCAGGAGGTTAGGAATGGGGCCAGGAAGAGCTTTGGGGAAATATTAATAAAATGTAGGCAGATAATAGGTAACCTACAAAATAATCAACAACAATAAACTGTTATAGAAGCATGAAGAAAGCTAGTTTAAAAAAGAATCAACCTGCCATATGCTGCTGAAAGATCATGAAAGGGAGAGAGAATTACCCAGTGTTTATTTTTTGATAGGGTGAGTTTTTTGTTTGTTTTTTGATGGAGGAGTGAGAAATATGTTGGCTCTAGTTTGAGGAGTAAATGGGAGAGGAATAAATGGAAAAACTAAGTATAAATTAATTTTTCACTAAATCAAAATTAAGTGATATTAATAATGATAGATACTAAGGGACAGTAAAATGGTACCTACAAGGAACATGTCCAGGGCCAAATGTCTCTTTTTTCTTCTTCTTATACTTTCTTTTTAAATTCTCCTCAAAGTAGCTGATGATTATAGACTCCAAGAAAATGAGAACATAATTTAAATTAACCTATTAGTGTAATATATTAGGAAATAGATCTGTCTCAATTAAATAAAACATTTTGATGGCAAAAACAAGGCAAAACCACAAACACAAGTTGAAGAAAGATATTTTGAAAATAAGAAAAAGCCAACGGATAATCAACGACTACAAAAATAAATGATTACCAACTGACCGTGGGGAAAAAATGTAATGCTGTTGTTAAAAATATAATATAATTTGGATATACTAAAAGGTATACAAACATGCAAAAGTCAGAAAGTAATGATTATATTAATTTCAGCATTAATCAAATTCTTATAGTATCTACCACATTCTAAGAGGATTCAGAAATAAATATTAAGAGAATTAAAATTGAAAAAGTAAAAGAATGGAGAGTTTTTTCATTACAAACTTTGATTTCATGAGTTAACATGATGTGTTTACTACACCATGGAAACAAATATTCAAGTAACTCAAAGAGCACAGATTGTGTTTATAGTAAAATATTAGATAGCATGAATTGTGTCCCGAGATCACAGTGATCTTTGAAGAAATTCCTTTGGTTCTTTTTGGAGAAATTTCTGAGAATCATGCTTTTTAACCTGAAAGTGCCCTGTTGTGAAATTTGATTTGTCTAGTGGTGGGCTTTGAGAATATTGGATTAACAGAGTTTAGGATAACTCAACTCTCCTGAACATGTAAATTCAGGACCTATCAAAGGCCTTTGTATTTTTTATTACATTTTTGTTTTATGAGAAAAAGAGAGAAAAATATTCTACAGAGAGAGAAATAGAAAGAGAATAAAGCCAACTTATGGAAATGCAAAAGGAAAAGCAATTTGAAAAATGGGGCATGATGGTGTTCTATGTTCAGGGTTCAACCCATTTTTGTATCACTGTCTTTGGACTATATGAAATACCTCTTCGTTCTTAGATAATAAATTTCCTTATAGAGCTTTTGTTAGTTTAAATAAGGATCATTCCTTTTAATCAAGGGAGTTATTACTAATCTAGCAAAGAAGACTCTTGTGAGTGAGAGAAAGTTCTGTAATGTACTATTAATGTGACTATAGAATCATCTTTGTGTTCTTCCTTTCAATGGTCCTCTCTCTCCACTTAGACTTTACCTTTGTTCCCTTCCCCATCTTACCTTACTTGCTTGAAGTATTGCAAGAGCTTAAAAATTATAAGACTGCTAATCACTCCACACTCCAACACATTCAGCAGGGAAGGGGCTATGTTCATTCTCTTTATCCATGTTCACATAATGTCATTTTCCTGTTCCAATTAGACTTTAAATCCTGAACAATAGTGCTCCCGTTCAACTTTTCTTTGCACCAGCAAAACGGGACTATTTGATATTTCCAGAATATCTTATATGATTTTATGCTTTTTTTAAATGACTTTTTCTGCCTTAAAAGTCTTCTTCCTCAATTTCCCCTGCCAAATTTCAGCAAATTATTTACATCCTACTTTTATTGTAGAACATTTGGAATTTAAATTTAAGAATCTTAACTGAGTCAGAGAAGATTTGCTAGGGTTTGGATGAGGTAATGGTGTTTATGTATCATCTGGACATAGACACAAACAAGCTGCCTAACTACTTTACAAAGTCAAGGGTTTATCTTACATGTCACAGAGTATTTAGAGACATTGAAAAATGAAAAGTAACATTTCTTGTTTTGCTCAGGTCCCAGATACCTAGTGGAATTTTACTCACTGGAACATAAGCTACTTGGGAGTTGCACATCTATAGTGGCTAGAACAGTTCCTGGCACACAAAAAGCCTTGGTAGATATTAATAGATGATAGACAGATATAGATAGATAGATAGATAGATAGATAGATAGATAGATAGATGATAGATAGATGATAGATAGGTAGATAGATAGCAGAGAAAGAGAGAGAGATGGGAAAGAAGGGCAAAGGAAAGAGGAAAAGGTAGAGAATATATGTACATACCATACATGCACATATATATGTGCATCTATGATCTGTACATATTATTATATTATTAGTTGTATAAAGTATTAAGTTAGGTTATTGACTCAAGATTTGTATTCTTTAAAATATCAGTGTTTATTGCTATAAATTTTCCTCTAAGCACTGCTTTAGCCACATGCCATGTTTTGGTATGTTGTAATTTTGTTTTCATTAATCTCAAAGTAGTTTCTAGTTTTATTCTGATCTCTCACTATATTTTGATCTCTCATTATATTTTGATCCATTGCTTATGTAGAAATGTTTATTGTTGATTTCTAATGTAATTCCATTGTGATCAAATAACATATGTTGTATGATTTCAGCTTTTTTAAATTATTAAGGTTTGCTTTATGGACTATCGTATAATCTATTCTGGAGAATGTTCCATGTTTGCTTAAGAAAAATGTGTATTTCTTTGTTTTGAGGAGTATTCTATAGGTCTAGTTGATTTAAGTGTTGTTCAAGTATTATATTTTTCTGTAGGTGTTATGCTTACTTTTATAGTCATTACTGAAAGTGGAGTATTGAAGTCTCAAACTCTTATTATTAGATTGTCTTTTCCCCTGCTTAAATTCTGTCCATTTTAGCTTCATGTAATTTTGTAGCTCCATTGTTCAGTGCGTATGTGTTTATAGTTGTTATACCTTCATGATGTATTTGTAATTTTATCATTATAAAATATTCTTTGTTAACTTCTGTCTTAAATTCTCTTTTTGTCTTATGTTAAAATAGCCACTCCTCTTTTAGTAAGTGTTTGTGTTATATATATATATATATGTGTGTGTGTGTGTGTGTGTGTATGTATCTTTTTATTTTCAATCTATTTGACTATTTGCCTTTAAGCATATCTCTTTTAGACAGGATATAGTTGGATTGTGGGTTTTTTAAATTCATTCTGCCAACCTCTACATTTTTACTGAAATGCTTAATCCAATTGTATTAAATGTAATCAGCAGTAGGGTAGGATTTCTACCATTTCACTTTTTGTTTCTATCTGTCCTAATTTTTTCCTCTGTTCTTCCAACACTGCCTTCCTCTGTGTTAAATAGATAATTTTCTACTGTATCATTTACTTTTCTTTCTGTTCTTTCACTATATATTTCTGAGTATACACAATTAGCGTTTTAAGGTCAATCAAAGTCGTTAGGATTAACACTTAATTTAAGTAGCATACAGAAGCTTTGCTCAACAGCTTCAGTTTCTTCACCTTTCTCTGTGAGAGTACTGAAAAACAAACTAGACTTTTATTCATTAGAAGCCTATCCACATAGTTTTATAAGTCTTGCTTTGTACAATTTTCTTTTAAATCAGAAAAGCTACAAGAAAAAAATATGTTTATTGTATCTTTACGTTTACCTTGATAATTATCATTACTGATGCTCTTCATTTCTTTTTGTGGATTCAAGTTACTGTCTAATATGCCTTCATTTCAGTCTTGGTGTCTCCCTTTTACTTTCTTTTAGGGCACATCTGTTAGTGATAAATTGTCCAGTTTTTATTTATCTAGAAATGTCTTAATTTCTTCTTCATTTTAGAATTATAGTTTTGCTCGATTTAGAATTCTTAGTTGACAATCCTTTTCTTTCAGCACTTTAAATAAATTCCAGTGCCTTCTGAGCACCCTGGTTCCTGATGAGAAGTCAGCTATTAATCTTTTTGAGTATCTTTTGTATGTGATACATTATTGTTCTCTCAGTACTTTAAAGTTTTCACTTTGTCCTTGGATTTTGATAATTTGACAATGATGATGAAGTCTCTATTCAGTTAGCTTATTGGTCTGGTCAGCTATTACATGGTCAGTGGTTTTCATAAATTTTTTGAACAAATTAGGCTTCTTTTCTTTGCCAAAGAATTCTATGCAGCTATTGGGTTTTACCCTCAATGTTCATGCCCATTTACAGCATTAGTATTCACTTCTTGCCTTTACAGAAACTTAAGTTTAGCCAGCGAGATTATGCACAGCTCTGTGTGTGACCTTATAGATACCCAGAAATAAATAAATAAATAAATAATTTAAGGAAGCAACTTGGAGAAAGGGACAATCCCTAAGTCAAAGAAATTACCTTGAGAAAGAAGTCTATCAGCTTAGGCCAGACTGAGAGATATAATTATAATGGTGTGATAAATGTGATTTAAGGTATATGGGCAGGTATGCTTGATTACTCTGACGTTATCCAAATCCATCCCCAAACCCCTGAGAGGAAAAGAAACAAAGCACTCAGAATATGTAACAAATTTTAAGTTTCTTATTTAGGATAATTTAGGTTATCTCCAATAATTCAACTACTTAGATAATGATGAAATAAATTTTTCCTGTATATTGCTCAATTTTCCTCTTATTTTTCAAAGGTATATTTTATATATAGAATCATTTGGTCAAAGTATATTCACATTTTAAAGCTTTTTGTAGATACAAGAAGCCTTAAAGAATAGTTATACCAACAACAGTGTATGAAATTATGTTTTAAAGAATTCATTGCTATATTGGGAATCATTATTATTGTTAACTTTTACAAGTATGACAGGTGAAGCATAGTATCACATTTTAAACTGCATTTGTCTGACCACTAGGTTGGTTACACATATTTTCAAATAATTTATTGATTGTTTGTTTTTCTTTTTTTCCCAAACATTCTTGTTTTATGTGCTCTCTTGTCCTAAATGTGGTGTTCATCATTTCACTTTTATTATATCTTTTTGTATGAAGAAAAGCAAGGTATTATCCACCACACATTTTTTAAACATTTTTCCCAACGTATAATTGGTCTTTTAATCTTACGTAGGGTGTTTTTTTTTTTTAATTAATGCATAGTGCCAGGGTAGATTCTTACAGAAACCCCTATGAGGACTGAAAGTCTCTTGATATCAGAACATGAATGTTTTTCCCTTACTTATTGGAATAGAGAATATTATATTGCAATAATTGTCTCTAGATAAGGTTTGCCAAAAAGCACTCTTCCCTATGTTAACTTATTCGCATGCTTGCACTGAGAGAACAGGAGTAAAATATGCAAATTCCATTCAGTTGTTTAGATCTATTTATAGGGAAGATTTGTTTAGAGAGAGGATTTCTTTACCTTCTAATAGGATTGCCTAGATAGGAACTTTGCATAATATAATGGAATTAATCCCTGTGAAAGCTGTGAGTGGATTATCAGTCACAACCTCTGCCTTCCCACTCTGTGAAATGTCTAAGAAAGGGATTAAGGCAACCTCTCCAGTTGCATGAGAGACTGCTTAGTTATAGGCTGCTGCTTACACCCACGTGTGCACACATACAACACTGACCCACATAGGATTCCACATCTCCCTTTAACTGTCAGTCCCTTTCAATATGAGTAAGAAATAGAGATGCAGAAATGTTGCACCCAAGTGAACAGCAAAGGAAATGTAGGAATATCTAAGAAGTTTGAATTTTAACTTAATAAAGATTGATAGGGCATGTTAAAAGCTGACCAGTCAATGTCTCTTTCAGTTATGAAATATCTAATTCATGTATTTAAAACATGATTATACCCAAAGAGTGAAGACATCTTTATCTGGGGCAAAGTCAACATTATATAGTTATGGGGGAAAATCTATACACAGCAGAAATGTATATGGCCATATTTTTGTAGACACCAGTCTTCCATTTTTTTGGTCAAACAATGAAAGCTCAAATTTATATAGCCCTTACTATATATATACCAAGCATTATTCTAAGTGCTTGATATATCAACTCATTTAAGACTCAAAATAGCCCTGTGAGGTAGATAATATTGTTGTTCTCATCTTAAGGATAGGGAAAGTGAGGCAAAGAGATAGGTTCCTGCCCGAGATCACAGTACAAGTAAGTGTATCAATGTTTTGCACTATGGTTTCTTCTAATGCTATTATTTTTAGAAAAGACCCCCTCACTACCAGATTATGTACATACTCACTTCCGTTTCCTCTGGTTCTTTTGAACTTCATTATTATGCTTTTTTTTCCATCTAGAATTTATTCTCAGATAGTGTGAAGAAAGAGTCAACTGTATTTCATTATTGCAAAAACACTCATTTTTCACATTTTAATATCTCTGAAAGCAGAATTCCTCATAGAACCAGAGGGGTCTTACCTTCACTGTCAGGCACAGTTCTCACCTGATTCTATCTGTTAAGATCAAGACAGTGTCAACTTTAATCTTGGATAGTAGGTGTCAGAGTCTTGGAAGAAGATACCAGAAAAAATAGGACATGTTTTTAGGAAATGCCATATTACTGAAGTTCTAGATGAACAGAGGACACTATTACATGAAAAAAAAAAAGATATGAACAATCCTGAGTGAAAAAGGAAACTTGAAGAGCTATACTTTATTTGTTTTTTGTTTTTGTTTGTTTGTTTTTTGAGACAGAGTCTTGCTCTGTTGCCCATGCTGGAGTGCAGTGGCGCCATCTCGACTCACTGCAACCTCTGCCTCCTGGGGTTCAAGTGATTCTCCCACCTCAGCCTCTTGAGTAGCTGGAATTACAGGCGCCAACCACCACGCCCGGCTGGTCTCAAACGCCTGACCTCAAATTATCCACCCGCCTTGGCTTCCCAAAGTGCTGGGATAACAGGCATGAGCCACTGCGCCCAATCAAAGAGCTATACTTTAAGTGGCAAGAAGTTTTATTCATGTCATAAATAATTTATTACATTTATACTATTTTTTTTATTTACAGAAAAAACTTTACAGATTAAAAGTCTTATATCTAAAGAAGTCTAAAATCGCTCTTTCAAAAAATATAGACAAAGAGTTGACAAACTTTTCTGTAAGGGAATAGATAGTAAGTATTTTAGGCTTTGTGGGCCAGGCAGGTTGTTTCACAACTCTTCAATGCTGCCATTCTAGTGCAAGAGTGGTCATGGACAATACGGACATGAATGGACGTGGCTATGTCCAATGAAACTTCATTGACAGTAACAGTGGGTGCAAGTTTTCCCTTGTATGTAGTAACAAGTCTATGTAATAAAAAAGCATTTTGTTTTAGTTTATCTACTAACATTTTCCCTTAGCATTTAATAAAATAATAGTACATACTATAATGTTGATTTGTTGTTCTTAGTTTTAATAAATTAATTGACTACTATCTTTTTTTAATTACCTTTATGCATTTGCAATGGCATGTTAACCAAATAAGAATATAAAACCTCTTACATTCTAGAATTTTGGAGGGCTTTCCAATTTGGCCCATTGATATAATTTTCTAATCTCACCACAGGAATATACTATTTAAAAAATTACAATTTTATAATATGTTTTGTTATGTTTTAGTGACCCTTAACATCTCTTCCTGATAAAAATCATTTTGTTATTATCACAAACTTATTTTTTCAGATAAACTTTACAACACATTAAGTTGCAAAAATACAGTCATTGAGATCATGGTTGTAATTACATTAAACCAACCAAATTAGTTTGAGACGAATTAAAATATTTACAGTATTAAGTTCTTGAATCTAGGAAATCAAGTGTTTTTTTTAAAAAATGGTAAAGTTTTTTACTTTATTCAAATATGTCCCACATATTTCTTATGAGTCAATTCCTAGATAATTAATATTTTGTGATTACAAATAATGTAAAATTTTGTTTTCTGTTTTGGTTTTTAGTTTGCTTCAGTTGGCATATAATACAAATACTGATTTTTAGAAAGTATTTACTTAACATTCTCATATTAATATTTTTAATGATATCTTTAGTTGGCTCTCCTTAGTTTTCTAGAAAGACAACAGTATTAAATATCAACTACATGGTTATTTCTCTTTTATAATTATTTATTTTTAATTTTAGTGAGGATATAGTAGGTGTAGATACTTTGGGGATAAATGAGATATTTTGATACAGACATGCAAGGCATAATAATCACTTTAGGGTAAATGAGGTATCCCTCACTTCAGGCACTTACCCTTTGTGTTACAGGCCATCCAATTAAACCTTTAGTCATTTTATTTAATGTAATTTTTTTTTACTCTTAGTTACTTAAAAATGTACAATAAAATTATTATTTACTATGGTCACCCTGTTGTACTATCAAATGGTAGGTTTTGTTCATTCTTCCAACTACTTATTTGTACCCATTAAGCATTCCAACTTCCCCCCAACCCCCACTACCCTTCCCAGCCACTATGTCTCCATGAGTTCATTTGTTGTAATTTTTAGTTCACACAAATAAGTGAGAATATGTGAAGCTTGTCTTTTTTGTGCCTGACTTATTTTGCTTAACATAATGGTCTCCAGTTCCATCCATTTTGTTGCAAATGACAGACTCTCATTTTTTTCTTTCAAGGCTTAATAGTACTTTATTGTCTATATGCACCACATTTTTTTATCCATTCATATGTTGATGGACACTTAGGTTGCTTCCAAATCTTGGCTATTGTGAACAGTGCTGCAATAAACATGAGAGTGCAGATATCACTTCAATATACCGATTTCCCTTCTTTTGGATATATACCTAGCAGTAGGATTGCTGGATCATATGGTACCTGTACTTCCGGTTTTATGAGGAACTTCCAAACTTTTCTCCATAGTTGTTGTACTAATTTACATTCCCACCAAGAGTTTACAAGGATCCCCTTTCTCCACATTCTCACCAGCATTTGTTATTGCCTGTATTTTGGGAAAAATGCCATTTTAACTGCAGTGAGATGATATTTCATTTTAGTTTTCATTTGCATTTATCTGATTATCAATGATACTGAGCACCTTTTCTTTTTTTCCTTTGTTTGTTTGTTTGCTACAGGATCTCACTCTGTCTCCCAGGCTACAGTGCAGTGGCCTGATCACAGCTCACTTCAGCCTCAACCAGTCCTCCTGCCTCAGCCTCCAGAGTACCTGGGACCACAAGCATGGATCACAATACTTGGCTATTTATTTATTTATTGTGGAGGTGGGGTCTTCCTATGTTGCTCAGGCTGGTGTTAAACCCTTGGTTTTAGTATTAGGGTGATATTGGCTTCACAAAATTGTTTGGGGAGGATTTCCTCTTTCTCTATCTTTTGGAATAGTGTCAGTAGGATTGTTACCAACTATTTTTTGCATGTCTGGTAGAATTCAGTTGTGAATCCATCTGGCCTTTTTTTTTTTGTTGGTAACTTTTTTTGTTGTTGGTAACTTTTTTTTTCTTTTTTTAATACTTTAAGATCTGGAATACATGGGCAGAACGTGCAGGTTTGTTACATAGTTATACACGTGCCATAGTGGTTTGCTGCACCGATCAACCCGTCATCTACATTAAATATTTCTCCTGCTAAACCTCCCCTAGTCCCTAACCTCCTGACAGGCCCTGGTGTGTGATGTTCCCCTCCTGGTGTCCATGTGTTCTCATTATTCAACTGCCAATTATGAGTAAGAACACGCAGTATTTGGTTTTCTGTTCTTGTGTTAGTTTGCTGAGAATGGTGGTTTCCAGCTTCATCCATGTCCCTGCAAAGGACATGAACTCATCCTTTTTATGGCTGCATAGTATTCCATGGTATATATGTGCCACATTTTCTTTATCTAGTCTATCATTGATGGGCATTTGGGTTGGTTGCAAGTCTTTGCTATTGTGAACAGTGCTGCAACAAACATACGTGTGCATGTGTCTTTATAGTAGAATGATATATAATCCTTTGGGTAGATACCTAGCAATGGGATTGCTGGGTTAAATGATATTTCTAGTTCTAGATCCTTGAGGAATCGCCACACTGTCTTCCACAATGGCTGAACTAATTTACACTCCCACCAACAGTGTAAAAGCATTCCTATTTCTCCACATCCTCTCCAGCATCTGTTGTTTCCTGATTTTTTATATTGCCATTCTAACTGGCATGAGATGGTATCTCATCATGGTTTTCATTTGCATTTCTCTAATGACCAGTGATGATGAGCTTTTGTTCATATGTTTGTTGGCTGCATAAATGTCTTCTTTTGAGAAGTGTCTGTTCATATCCTTCACCCACTTTTTGATGGGGTTTTTTCTTATAAATTTGCTTAAGTTCCTTGTAGATTCTGGATATTAGTCCTTTGTCAGATGGGTAGATTGAAAAAATTTTCCCCCATTCTGTAGGTTGCCTGTTCACTCTGATGATAGTTTCTTTTGCTGTGCAGAAGCTCTTTAGTTTAATTAGATCCCATTTGTCAATTTTGGCTTTTGTTGTTGCCATTGCTTTTGGTGTTTTAGTCGTGAAATCTTTGCCCATGCCTATGTCCTGAATGGTATTGCCTAGGTTTTCTTCTAGGGTTTTTATGGTATTAGGTTTTACATTTAAGTCTTTAATCTATCTTGAGTTAATTTTTGTATAAGGTGTAAGGAAGGGGTCCAGTTTCAGTTTTCTGCATATATCTAGCCAGTTTTCCCAATACCATTTCCAGCTTTGTTTACACTGTGAGGGGAAAACCACCTACTCAAGCCTCAGTAATGGTGGACACCCCTCTTCCCACCAAGCTTGAGTGTCCCAGGTTGACTTTAGACTGCTGGATTGGCAGCAAGAATTTCAAGCCAGTGGATCTTAGCTTGCTGGGCTCTGTGCAGGTGGGATCTGCTGAGCTAGACCACTTGGCCGGCTGACTTCAGCCCCCTTTCCAGGGATGTTAACAGTTCTGTCTCACTGGCATTCCAGGCACCAGTGGGATATGAAAAAAAAAAAAACTCCTGCAGCTAGCTCAGGATCTGCACAAACAGCCACCCAGTTTTGTGCTTGAAACCCAGGGCCCTGGTGGTGTAGGCACTGGAGAGACTCTTCTGGTCTGCGGGTTGTGAAGACCATGGGAAAAGCATAATATCTGGGCTGGAGTGCACCGTTCCTTACGGCACAGTCCCTCATGGCTTCCCTTGGCTTGGGGAGGGAGTTCCCCGACCCTTGGCACTTCCCAGGTGAGGCAACGCCCTACCCTGCTTCAGCTTGCCTTCCATAGGCTGCATTCACTGTCCAACCAGTCCCAATGAGATGAGCCACGTACCTAAGTTGGAAATGCAGAAATCACCCACCTTCTGCGCTGATCTCACTGAGAGCTGTAGACCAGAGCTGTTCCTATTCAGCCATCTTAGGAAGACAGACCCTTTTTTTTAGGGTTTTTTTGTTTTTTGTTTTTACCTTGAAATTCCTTTTGTTTCATCCTAATATTCTTTGTTGTTGTTGTTTCATGCTAATATTCTTAAACCTCTTTTTATTAACTTTTCTTCTATTATTTCTTCTGCTATCCCTTTATGTAAAACCTTTGGTTTCAATTTATTTTAGGTGTCTGTCTTTCATATAATATATAGCTAGAATATTTTTAAACACATTCTGAGAGTTCTTGTCTTTTAATAGGGAAATAAACATGCATATTTAATATGACAGGTTAATTATTTTTAGTTTTAAGTTCCAGGATACATGTGTAAAATGTGCAGGTTTGTTACATAAGTAAATGTGTGCCAAGGTGGTTTGCTGCACCTATCAACCCAGCACCTAGGTGTTAAGCCCAGAATGCATTAACTATTTTTCCTGATGCTCTCATCCACCCTGCCCTTCCTCAACAAACCCCAGTGTGTGTGGTTCCCCTCCGTGTGTCCATGAGTTCTCATTTCTCAGCTTCCACTTATAAGTAAGACCATGCAGTATTTGGTTTTATGTTTCTGTGTTAGTCTGCAGAGGATAATGGCTTCCAGCTTCATCCATGTTCCTGCAAAGGAATGATCTCATTCTCTTTTATGCTGCGTAGTATTCCACGGTGTATATGTACCACATTTTCTTTATCCAGTCTATTGTAGATGGGCATTTCAGTTAATTCCATGTCTTTGCTATTGTGAATAGTGCTGCAATGAACATACACATGCATGTATCTTTATAATACAATTATTTATATTCCTTTGGGTATATACCCAGTAATGGGATTGCTGAGTCAAGTGGTATTTCTGGTTCTAAATCTTTAAGGAATCACCACACTGTCTTCCACCATGGTTGAACTAATTTACATTCCTACCAACACTGTAAAAGTGTTTCTATTTCTCTGTAACCTCGCCAGCATCTGTTATTTCTTGACTTCTTAATAATTGCCGTTCTGATTGGCATGAGATGGTATCTCATTGTGGTTTTGATTTGCATTTCTCTAATGATCAATAATGTTGAGCATTTTTTCATATGTTTGTTGGCCACATAAATGTCTTCTTTTGAGAACTGTCTGTTCATGTCCCTTGCCCACTTTTTAATGGGGTTGTTTTTTTCCTTGTAAATTTGCTGAAGTTCCTTGTAGATTGTGGATATTAAACCTTTGTCAGATGGATAGATTGCAAAAATTTTCTCGCATTGTGTACATTGTCTGTTCACTCTGATGATAGTTTATTTTGCTGTGAAGAAGCTCTTTATTTTAATTAGATCCCATTTGTCAATTTTTGCTTTTGTTGCAATTGCTTTTTCTGATTTTATCAAAAAATCTTTGCCTGTGCCTATATCCTGAATGGTATTGTCTAGATTTTGTTCTAGGGTTTTTATAGTTTTGGGTTTTACATTTAAGTCTTTAATCCATCTTGAGTTAATTTTTGTATAAGATATAAGGAAGCAGTCCAGTTTTGATTTTCTGCATATGGCTAGCCAGTTCTCCCAGCACCATTTATTAAATAGGGAATCCTTTCCCCATTGCTTATTTTTTTCAGATTTGTCAAAGATCAGATGGTTGTAGATGTACTTTTTTTTTATTTCTGAGTTCTCTATTCTGTTCCATTATTCTATGTGCCTGTTTTTATACCAGTACCATGCTATTTTGGTTACTGTAGCCTAACTGCTAATGTCTAGATCAATTTATACTATCAAACTTTGTGTTTTGTATTAGAATACAGGTGACCCTTGAACAACATGCGTTTGAACTGCACAGATCCATTTATACACGTATAACCTCCTCTTTCTGCCTGTCCTCTGCCTGCTCACCAAGAAGACAATGAGGACAAAGACCTTATGATGGTCCACTTCCACTTAATGAACAGTAAATGTAGTTTCTCTTCCTTATGACTTTCTTAGTAAATTTTCCTTTTTCCAGCTTACTTGGTTGTAAATATACAGTATATAATACAGAGAACATACAAAACATATGTTAATCCAATGTTTATGTGTTGGTAAGGCTTCCAATCAGCAGTAGGCTATTGGTTACATTTCGGGGTTGTCAAACGTTATATACAGATATTCAACTGTGAGGGTAGTTGGTACTCATAACCTCTGAGTTGTTCAAGGGTCAGCTGTACTTGCTGCTTCTTTTTTAAAAAAAGAATCTTTTTTCTTACTTCTTATTTTGTTAACTCAATTTTATTCATTCAATGTTTTTCTCTAGTTGTTTGAAAGTTATATATATTTGATTCTCTAGCAATAACTGTATCATACATTTACTTTGTTTACTATATCATGTAAATTCACCCATTCCAGTTGTTAGGAATTGGATTGTGCCACACCTCAAAATTTTTATGTTGAAGTTCCCCTAATAAGTTAACTTCTAATTCTATAACATGTGAATTTATTTGAACATAGGGTCTTTAAAAAGTCAATTAAGGTTAAATGTAGTTATTAAGGTAGGTTCTCATCCAATGGCTGGTGTCCATTTTAACAAGAGGACATTCAGATACAAGCACATATCAGATGGAGGGACCTTGTGAAGACCCAGGGAGAAGGCATTGATTTACAAGCCAAGTAGAGAGACCTCAGAAGAAACAACACTGTCAACACCTTGGTTTGGGATGTTTAGTCTCCAGAACTGTGAGAAAGTAAAAAATTTCTGTGTGTTTAATAAGTCACCCAGTCTGTGGTACCTTGTTATGGCAGCCCTAACAAATGAACACACCAAGGATAATTAGTATTTACATTCTCCCCTAATAAAAGGGTGTTAGAATAATTTTATTTTCTTTACTCCTCAGCCCTTTTTTAGATCATCTGAGTGGTAAATATCAGGTTGTTTCTTTTTAAATTTAATATTTCATTAAGCTTTAACATGTATTACATCGGTTTATTTCCTTACAACCATTTATTGTTTACTACATCTTCCTCATTCTTAGATATATTTTTCATTTTTCTCCATTATTTGTTCTATTAATTTCTTCAAAGACATCTGTGGAAAATTTATAGATCCTCACATATTTAACGATTTCTTTGTTTTGTCACTGCACTAATTTAGTTGAATATGTATTTTATGGTCAAAATAATTTCAACCTTGGAATTTGAAGTTGCTGCTCCATTATCTTCTATCACAAATGTGATCAATAGGCTTTTCACGCTACTGTGTTTTTTATTCCTTTGTGGACATATTTTACTTATTATTGGTTTCAATATTTTTATTCCCCCATAGCAGCTTTTAAATTTTCAGTTTTATTCCTGTTGCTCTGACATTTATCCTACATATGTTGGCGTCTTTTTAAACCCCTATTCACATATTTGAAAAGCATTTCTGTCTAAATTACCACATAGCCACTAAATAATTTTTCCATTTTATTATTTGCCTTTGCTCATTCTCTGTTTTGAATTCTGTATATGCTTCTAGATAGATTTCAAAACTTCTGATTTTTTTTCTTCATATATATAGCCTTTTACTGTCAGATTATACATTTGCACCTCATACTGTGGAAACCTTTCATGTTCATTTCCAGTTATAACTTCTTTCTTAGCTGTATCTATTTTTATAATCGAAGACAACTAATGAGACTTTAAAAATTATATTTTAAATTCCTTTGTCTCTAGTTGTTTCTTTTTCATGGATTTAATATCTACTCAAAACCTCATAAAACCTCATTAAACACATTATACTTAATTTAACTTTGTGTTTGTTCTTCTCTCTCAACAGTATTAGTTCTTTGGTCTATTAAGTTTGTGGCTAATTTCTTTTCCTGGGAACCAAATATCTGGTGACATTTCCTCTCTCTGCTCATCTGAGTGTTTGAGAGTCACTGTTCACAAGACTATAACTGTCAGTTCTGATTAAAGAATTTTGTCTACAATGACGGTGGGCAGGAGTAGGAACAGGATGTGCTGTCAGGGAGGGTTTACCAGGCTCAAGTGATCTCTGTTCTTTTCATAGTCTGAATATTAGTATATAAAGAGTATATTCTATATTCCTCTAGGGAGAACATGGATAAATAAAATTGAAAATGTAGTTTGAAAAGACTGTAGAAATGGCTTAATTATTAAAGTTGTGGATCTTGTGGATTGATGAAAATGAATTCCTCCTAACAACTCCTAGTCTCTTAATATCTTTACACAAATGAGGCAATAAATTTCAAAGATTTTGGAAGCCAGTTCATTATTACTACCTCAAGTGAGTCTTACTGGAGTTAGATGTTGCCTTACACCTCCCAAATAAGAAATCTTTTAGCAGAATTTATGCAATCATGGGTTACAAAACTGGCATACTTAGACACTGAAATCATAAACTTTATTATTATTAACCATGTTCATATAATGGAACTAACTTTTAAACTAACATGCATCCATTTCACTAGTATTATGCTGTGTGCGATATGATCTGAATGTTTGTATACCCCCAAAATTCATGTATTGAAACTAACGTCAAAGGTGATAGTGTTAGGAGGTGGGGCCTTTGCAAGGGGATTAGGTCAAGAGGGCTTTTTCCTTATGAATGGCATGAGTGCCCTCATGAAAGAGAACTGAGGGAAGTTGTTTGCCTCTTCTGTCAAGTGAGGACAGATGAAGAATGCCTATTTAGACGCCAGAAAGCATAACCTTACCAGACGCTGAGTCTGCTGGTGCCTTGAGTTTTAGACTTCCTAGTCTCCCAAACTGTGAAAATTAAATTTCTGTTCATTTTAATCCACCTAGATTATGGGTTTTTCATTATAGTATCCCAAACTGACTGAGGCAGCATGATGTACCTATTGCTTTTATTATTATAAAGACTCTATAGAAAAGTTTGATATCCACATGTGTCCAGTGGTTACTGTATGGGACAGCATAGTTCTAGAGGGAGTAAGCATATGACAAGCAGTTTAACAGCTAAACATATAATATATTCGGTGGTAAAAAAGAGTCCTTTGAACAAAGCAAGATAGGTAAAGGGACCAATAATTATGAGTGGAGGAGTGTGCTATTTTAAATAGTTAAGGTGGACAGACTAGTGTTCTCTGATAAGGTGACATTTAAGCAGAAACCTGAAATAATGAAAATAATATGCCTAACACAATACACAGCATGTAGTAAGTACCAAATACATTTTAGTGCTCATTACTAGCTAAGAAGAATTG
Organism: Homo sapiens; assembly: GCF_000001405.40. Lineage (NCBI taxonomy): Eukaryota > Metazoa > Chordata > Mammalia > Primates > Hominidae > Homo > Homo sapiens. The sequence goes on from NC_000012.12 coordinate 38,410,986, forward strand.
TGTTATTCACTCCATACTTGAACTATATTATAATGGACTTCTTATTTTAGAAGAAAATTTTCCTTTATTTTTAAACAAACCAAAAATACTGTTACTTAAAAATATTAAATTCTGGTTGGGCATGGTGGCTAACGCCTGTAATCCCAGCACTTTGGGAGGCTGAGGCAGGCGGATCATGAGGTCAAGAGATCAAGACCATCCTGGCCAACATGGTGAAAACCCATCTCTACTAAAAATACAAAAACTAGCTGGGCGTGGTGGCGCACGCCTGTAGTTCCAGCTACTCTGAAAGCTGAGGCAGGAGAATCACTTGAACCCGGGAGGCTGAGGTTGCAGTGAGCCGAGATCACACCACTGCACTCCTGCCTGGTGACAGAGTGAGACTCCGTCTCGAAAAAAAAAAATTAATTAATTAATTAAATTCTAGTCATGATTTCATAAAAAGAAATATTCTCCTTGCAGTATCAACAGAGAGAAAATAGCTAACTAAGTACTATAACAATAACTCAGTAGAGAACAAAGAACAGTTTATTGGTCTCCCAATTTCTTTTTAAATGAAAAACAGTGAAGTTCAATCTTAAACAAAGTTTTCCTGCCAGCAAAGTTGTCAGATGTATGAAAGGGGAAGTTGTTGCTCAGCAACACAATGAGACTGAGCTCCCATGATAAGTTCTTACATAACCTCCAAACGGTACATTGGATAACAATGCTATTGGGGCAAGTGGAAAACTTGCTTTCATAGACAGCAAGCATTTTTGAAATCATTCTTAATTAAAAGTTGAACACTAATTTTCTTACGGTGAAACTTTTATAGTTACACCATGTCCTTATTTATGTTTTACGACTTAAAGTGCAATTTACCTCATGCTAAGAACATTCATTGTGACAGTTCTGTTGGAAATTTTGCATTCTATTTCAAATGAAGCCTTCCCTTTATGATTCTGTCTTTAACTTGGGTGACTCAAAGATCTTTTCCCACCTTTGATTTAAGTCTTTGACTAGCTACAGCTATATTAGGTTGAACCTCACCCAATGATCAATTTTTGTTACCTTTGAAACATTCTAGAATGGTTTAGATGCAGTGTTTGATTAGACTTGAAAATGAAATTTTTTTTAAAGGTAAACAAGCCCTTCTCTGAAGGCATTGAGGGAAAACCTGCAAGGTCATCATATTTTACAATGTATCTACCTAACTAAATCCTATTCAGATTTTAATCCCTAATTCAAATCCTAACTCCTCCATATGGTCTTTCCAAGGACCCTAGATGATAAGGCTTTAATCATGTGTTGCTTTTATGCCTCTATTCTCCTCTTTATTTTAGTCACATTTCTTTTGGAATGCAGCAAATACATTTTATCATACCTTTACTTTCCCTTGGGAACTTACTGACATGCTGTGCCCAAAGTATGTAATGAAATAACAAGAATAATACATAGTAACTTTATATGGGACCTTATACTTTTTATAACATTTTACCTATGTTATCTACATGAAAACTAGGGTTTACATATGTTGACTGGGTACCTTTCAGTTAGAAGTGAAAGGGCTTTGTTGACTATAAATATCTAATTTGATCCTCATGGATGAGAAAATTTTATTTTAAACAGAGTGTAGATGAAGAATCTGAGCTTCACATTAAGCTATTTGAAAGAAACTTATAAGTAGTCAGGGGTCAGCAATCTGATTCTTTTTCTCTTTATTGTAATCTAAAATGTCTTAATGAATGCTTGGAAAAATGAAGAAATAAGTGATAGACTTAAGGAAGGAATAAATGATTGAATACTTTTTTTTAATTTTATCACCATCTTTCATTCATCACCCAACATTGTCTATCTGTTGATAAATATCAGATACAATGTTCTTCATTCTTTTTCTTGATATTTTGCTAGCTCAATCCTAATTAGTTTTCAGCCATTTGATATCTACCACCTAGTATTTCACTTTCTTAGTGTCTAACTTATCCTCCTTTCAATCCATCCTATTCTTAAAGTGAGAATCATTTCCCGCAAATTCCATTTTGATCACTCATATCTATATACTAAAACTAAGAAAGGATTTCCTTTGCCCAATATATCTGAGACAGATAATCAAGCCCCTTATTTAAATTTCTTTATTTTATTTTATTTTCTTGAGCCATCATATCACCTACTATAGCATTCAAAAAAGCAAATCTACTCTGCCTCTCTCTTACTCGTTTTTCTTGCTTCTTTGTCTTTTTGTCGCTCATTATCTATCAATTCATACTCTACTCTTTTTTCAGTTACTACCTGATTCAAACTTTACCTCCTTAGGAAATAATTCTAATCATGGCTTTGGGAAACTCCTCCGCAACCCCCACCCCCACATGCAAACTTGTTTGCATAGCATTTGAAGTGTTAATATATGTCCTTGAATAAATAATCTGGTTGTTATAGTCTGTCCTCTTTCTTTTCTAGATTGCTATGTGATGACAACCGTATGTTTCTTAGCTGCCTCTATAATGTTACCACCAAAAAATATTGTTAAAAAGTGTTTTCTCACCTTGAATGCGCAGCTCTTCACAGAGCTGTTTTGGTATTCAAACAATTGCCTAAGATTTCTTTCAAGGCATATCAAAGGTGAAAATTAATGTTCTCTATTTCAAAGATTTTGCCAAGTTACCAAGAATAGCATAAGTCAGTAAGACATACCAGGGGAATACAAATATTTCTGTATGTTGTTAATATGTCTAATAAAATGAGAATCTTTTGTACTGCCTCAAGCTTTTTCTCTCTTTCTGTAGAAATAACATAGAGATGTATGTAACCTCAGAATAAAATCTTATGCATGTCATGAAGAAAGCAAAGCTTATATGTAATAATTAATAGGGGCCAGTCTTCTCCTTCAATTATAGCTACAAAATATCTAATGGTTAACTACAAAAAAAGGTATCTATAAGCAAATCAGCAGAAAAACCATACATGCTCCAGAATTGACACAAGTTATTAGGAAAAGAAAAACAAGATTTAATGGTCTTTGCTGGAAGAGATATCAGAAACAAGAAGAGCAAAAATTAGATGGGTTTAGGAGTGAGTATAAAAACAATGTTTTTTTTTTTTTCTTTTTTGGAAACAGAGTTTCACTCTTTTTGCCCAGGCTGGAGTGCAATGGCACGATTTCGGCTCACTGCAACCTCTGCCTCCCAGGTTCAAGCAATTCTCCTGCCTCAGCCTCCCGAGTAGCTGGGGTTACAGGCATGTGCCACCACACCCGGCTAATTTTGTATTTTCAGTAGAGACGGGGTTTCTCCATGTTGGTCAGGCTGGTCTAGAACTACCGAACTCAGGTGATCCACCCACCTCGGCCTCCCAAAGTGCTGGGATTACAGGCGTGAGCCACCGTGCCCGGCCAATAACAATGTTTAATTAAAACCTAGGAACACATGTAAAATTGCTGAAATTAAGGCAGAGAAGCATTTAGCAAGAGGCTTTCATCAATTAGAATAGATCAGAAAACAGCTCTCATATGTATATGGGTTTGTATGTTTGATAGATAATGTTCCCTAATGAATACACAAATAAGCAACTTCTCCCTCTGTCCTCTCAGAGGGAAGAAGAGGACCAAGGTACTTCTTAACTAAGCCACCCTTTTCATCTGGAAGCTTTAACCTACTCTTTTTTTTCCCCCTCGAATTTCTAAATTTTATAGAAACTTTCTCTGATAATTTTTGTTCTCCAACATTAGCATATACAATTAAGTCTTCTGACTACTGTGGCCCCTTCTCTGTCCTTGTTTTACCCATTACACTGTCTGAACAATACAGCCTGCCACATGAGTGGAAGTTTAATTTCCTATATATCCATATTTCAACATATTCCCTTCTCTTTCCATCCATCTCTCCCTCCTCCCCATCTCAGGTGAAGGATATTCTAGTTTTTAAAGATCATCATTTTCACTCAGCAATAAATCCCATCCACTTCCACCAACTTAAATTTCCTCTTTAATCATCTTTTTTCTGTCTCTACCTATTTTGTTTTTCCTACTGATGACTTTTACATCAAGTCCCTTCCAATTTATACAAGAGTAACAACAACAAAATGGTAAAAAAATAAAATAAAATAAAAAGCCCACGTTTTTAACTTTATTCCATTTGTCACTCTAAACTCTTTTATATTTTTTAGCCACATTACTTAATAACAACTCTAATGCTCACTGAGTACTTACTAGTACTCTGGCATTGTTGTAAACATTCCATATATATCAATCTGTTTGATTCTCTTAATTAAGTGCTACAGTATTACTTTTTACAGATGAGGAAACTGAAACACAGTGCAGTCATATAACTTTCACAAAGTCGGTCAGTTAAACGCAGAGCCGAGATCCAAATCTAAGCAATCTGTATCCAATGTCCATGCTTTAAACTGCCTACACTGTAGTCCATGTTTGGTAGAAAAGCTTCCACTCAATGTCTCAACTTCCTCACTTAACACTTTAGCCCTCTACAATCTCTAGTGAAACTGCTGTGGCCAAATTCAACTTCTTAAAACCAATGAAAACTTTTAACTTTATCTTATTTGACCTATGTGTAGCAACTGACATATTACTTTTTTCCTAGCTGTTCTTCATTGCTTCCCAATCAAATTCTTTCATTACTGCTTCTTCATCTGCCTTCATGAATGTGGCTCCTTTTTATTTTACATCCTCTTGATGGATAATTTCATTCATTCCCATTACTCTTCCCAACCACAGATATATTAATGACTGCCCACTCAATCTCCAACGCAGGTTTTTTCCCCTTAGTTCATATGTCTGATTATCCACCAGATATTTCTACTCGGTTCTTCACAGGCACTGTGATTCTTGTGTTCAGAATGAAACTCAACACCTTTCCCAAGTATGATCATCCAACTAGTTTCTCAAGGCAGAAAGTTGAGTTATTCTAGTTTTCTCAGTCTCTTTTTACTTCTTACAACCAATTTATCAGAAAGATGGGTGTATCACATCTTATCATTACTTAAATGTCACCTTTAAATGTCACCTTTTCTTTATCTCTCTACTATTCTTTTAGTTAAAGTCCTTATAATTCCACACACATATTATTGAAAAACCTCTCAACTAACCTCCCACTTTCAGTCTCATTTCCTTCTAATGTCTTCTAGTACTGAAAGGATTTTTTAACATTTTCATCAGTCATAGTGCTTTTCTTTTTAAAACTTTCAAAGACTTCTCTATTTTTTTCTGTCCAGAACAAAATTCATTCATATTACCATGACATATTAAGGTCCTGTTGGATCAAATCCTGTTTTCACTGTTATTGGGGGTTCTTGGTACAAGCCATTCTCTATATCAAATACAAACATCCTCAAATAACAATAGTTTGACTTACAATTTTTTGATATGCATTCAGTAGAAGCTATACATGAATGCCCATACAACAATTCTGCTTTCTACTTTCAGTACAGAGTTCAATAAATTGAATGATGATTTTGCCCAAATGTAGGCTAATATAAGTATTCCCAGCATGTTTAAGGGAGGTTAGGCTAAGCTATAATGCTTAGTAATTTGAGTGCATTAAATATATTTTCAATTTAAGATGTTTTCAACTTATAATATTTTCAATTTACAGTCGGCTTATCAGGATTTATTCCCATTGCAAGTTGAGGACCATCTGTAATTAATATAATTCATAGCTTTTTTTTTTTTTTTGAGACAGTGTCTTGGTCTGTTGCCCAGGCTGGAGTACAGTGGCACAATCATGGCTCACTGCAACCTCGATTTCCTGGGTTCAAGTCATCCTCCCACTTTAGCCTCCCCAGTAGCTGGGACTACAGGTGTGCCCAGCTAATTTATTTTGTTTCATTTTTTGTAGAGAATAGAATTTCACTATGTTGCTCAGGCTGGTCTCAAAATTGTGGCCTCAAGAGATCCTGCTACCTCCTCCTCCCCAAGTGTTGGGATTAGAGGTGTGAGCCACCATGCCTGTCCTGTAATTCATAGCTTTCTAACCATGCCTTAGAATTATTCTCTATTATGTCTTTGTACATGGTATTCTCTTTGCCTAGAATATTTTGCAGTAAACCAAATGTCTTTTTATTCAATATTTCTATTATAGAATGTAGGATATAATAAATTCCTCTTTAAAGGTTTTACCCTGTAAATTAAGTACAATGATTTCTGAGATCCTCTCCAAAGAACCAATGTATCAGTATGGTCAGCTCTTCTGTTTGTTCTTCATGTTAAAGTTTAACTTCCTCATTCTCTTCTTCTCCTTGCCCCTAGTTTTAATAAACAACCTCCTCCTAGTCTCTATCACCTGCTCTGTCTTGAGTCACCCCTGGTCACTGCTCTGTCCTGTGTCACCCCTGGTCATCTGCTCCATCCTGAATCATCCTGAGTCACCTGTTCTGTAACCATCCTTCCCACTAAACTACTTACCCTGCCACTCTGACTTGTACCCCTGCTCTCTTTAAAATAGCCAATCAGAATAAGTTTAGACTGTGTGGTCCAACCCTAGCCAATAGGGGAATGAAACAGAAGTAGGGGCTACCTGCGTCAGGAATAAAAACACCTTCCCCTCCCTTGTTCAGATGTGCTCTCGCCACTGCTCCATCCATGAGTCACGCCCTTCTATAGAAATGAAATTGTCTTGCTGAGGAAATTAAATTTATGTTTGAAGTGCTATTTCTTTTGTGGCACCAAAAATTTATTTCTAACATAAAACTTGAATCAAATGTTTCCGTAACCTACTGCTATTCTTCCATAAACTTCTTTATATGAACTCAAAGATGTAATTTAGGAAAATAATAACATTATATTTATCTAGATAAGCATTCTTTTTTTCCTACCTGTAAAAATAATTTTGAACTATTTTTGAATTTATGTATTTTCTTTCATTTTTTTTTTTTTTTTTACAATGGTGAGAACCTGTAAATCTAAGGATATAAACACCTTTGCAAGCCAATTGGTGAAAATAGCCTTGTAGGTATTTTTATTTTTGTTATTTATTTATTTATTTTACTATAGAGGGATGAAGAAACTTTCTCAGGAAAGTGTAATGCTCATGAAAGACTAACCGTGTATCTGGTGTGCTAACTGATGGTGTGCTAAACTGATTTTTTTTCTTTTCTCCAAGGTGGTGTTTTAAGACTATGGCGAGAAAAGAGAAGTGAAAAATAGCTACTTCATAGGAGAATAATTTTTTTAAAAAGCAGTTCATTTTGTGCACAGAATTATAAAAGAAACCATCTCAGTTGATGTTTTTTTTTCATTTTAGATAGCTGGTAAAGTGTTTCATTTATCTGAACTGAAAGGAGCCAAGTTTTGAGCAGTATTCTGGTGATTCCTGATAAACTTCCATTAATTCTTTTTTTCTCTCTAAATTTAAGTACAGTTTAATTACTTTCTTTTCCTATCAAGTTGTTATATTTGAGTTTAATATTTTGAAGAATATCATAATGATACAGAAATATATAGCACATTAACCAAGTTAGATTTTTCAGAAAGTAGATTTTCAACAGATATTCTGTTTTGTTTTTTTAAGATTAAAAAAAATTACCCCTTCTGTATTACCCTTCAACTCTTCTCCTTGCTCCAGAAATATATCTAATTCTAGAGTGTTAGTAATTAAATAATTTTCTACTTATTAAAAACTGATCTCTAGCTTCATTATTCCTTCTTTGTCTACCTCCTCAACAAAATCATTCAATATAACTTCCTTGGGGAAACTTCAGGTTTCTTAGGGAGGGATGTAGTAGAAGAAGGAACAACGTTATAATGTAACCACTATGGAAAGTCTAACATCACTGTTTAGTTATTTCCATAATATTCATTTTGAAGGGACTCAAAATATTCTTTATTATGGGAATAGTATTTTTTATTATGCACTTCACTAAAAAAAAAAGTCTTTGAATGATTTCTCCAGATATAAGGCCATGGTCCTAAATTTGCCTAATTATTATTCTCAGGAGCTCACATTTCCTCCTATCATCCCTACAAGTGAGAAGGTATTGGGGTTCTATTTTTAGCCTCCAAAACAATACTAGGCCAAGAATTTTGTATCCAGCAAAACTAAGCTTCATAAATGAAGGAAAGATATGGTCTTTTCCAGACAAACACATGCGGAGAGAATTCACCACTACCAACAACACTACAAGAAGTGTTAAAAACAAATAAATGAAAAAGCTCTAAATTTTGAAATAAATCCTTGAAATACACAAAAATATAACTTCCTTAAAGCATAAATCTCACAGGACCTATCTAATAATAACACAATGAGAAAAAAGGTATTTAGGCAACAAGTAACAGGATGAATATAATAGTACCTCACCTCAATACTAACATTGAATGTAAATGGCATAAACGTTCCACTTAAAAGATACAGAATGGCAGAATGGATAAGAATTCACCAATCAAGTCTCTGCTATCTTCAGGAGACTCACCTGACAGATAAGAACTCACATAAACTTAAGCTAAAGTGGTGGAAAAAGTTCTTCTATGCAATGGACAACAAAAGTGAGCAGGAGTAGCTATTCTTATATTAGACAAAACAAACTTTAAAGCAACAGCAGTTTAAAAAGACAAAGAAGGACATTATCTAATGATAAAAGGCCTTGTCCAACAAAAAAAATCATGATCCTAAATATATATGCACCTAACACTGGAGCTCCCAAATTTATAAAACAATTACTACTAGACCTAAGAAATGAGATAGACAGCAATGCAATAATAAATATTAAGGGATTTCAATACTCCACTGATAGCACTAGACAGGTCATCAAGACAGTAAGTCAACAAAGAAACAATGGACGTAAACTATACCCTAGAACAAATGGACTTAACAGATATTTACAGAACATTCTACCCAAGAACTGCAGAATATACATTTGTTTCATTAGCACATGGAACATTATCCAAGATAGACCATACGAAAGACCACAAAACAAGTCTTGGTACATTTAAGAAAACTGAAATTATATCAAGTACTCTCTCAGACCACAGTGAAATAAAATTGGAAATCAACTCCAAAAGCAACCCTCAAAACCATATAAATACATGGAAATTAAATAACCTGCTCCTAAACGATTGTGGGGTCAACAATAGAATTAAGATGGAAATCTAAAGTTTTTTTTCAACTGAATGATAATAGCAACACAGCCTATCAAATCCTCTGGCATACACAAAAGCAGTGCTAAGAGGAAAGTTCATAGCATTAAATACCTACATCAAAAAGTCTGAAAGGCACAAATAGACAATCTAAGCTCACACCACATGGAACTGAAGAAACAAGAACAATCCAAACCCAAACTCAGCAGAAGAAAAGAAATAACAAAGAGCAGAGCAGAACTAAATGAAATTGAAACAAACAAACAAAAATACAAAAAATAAATGAAACAAAAAGCTGGTTCTTTGAAAAGATAAACAAAATTAATAGACTATTAGGGAGATCAACCAAGAAGAGAGAACATCCAAATAAGCTCAATTATTATAGAAATGAAATGGAAGATATTACTACTGGTACCATGGAAATATAAAAGATCATTCAAGGCCACTATGAACACCTTTAACTAGAAAACACAGAGGAGACGGATAAATTCCTGGAAATATACAACCCCCCTAGAAGGGTTGATATATATCTTCCTCTAGGAACATAAAGAAACTCTGAACAGACAAATAACAAGCAGTAAAATTAAAATGCTAATTTAAAAATTGCCAACAAAGACCAGAACCAGACAGATTCACAGCTGAATTCTCTAAGACATTCAAAAAGAATTGGTACTAATCCTATTGACACTATTCCACAGGATAGAGAAAGAGGGAATCCTCTCTAAATCACTCTATGAAGCCAATATCACCCTAATACCAAAACCGGGAAAAAGCATAACAAAATAAAAAAAGAAAACTACAGACCAATATCCCTGATGAACATAGATGCAAAAACTCTCAAAAAAATGCTAGCTAAACAAATCCAAAAGCATGTCAAAAAAGATAAGCCACCATGATCAAGTAGATTTCATACTAGAGATGCAGGGATGGTTCAACATCCACAAGCCAATAAATGTGATACACCACATAAAGAGAATTAAAAACAAAAACACACGATCATCTCAATAGATGCAGAAAAAGCATTTGACAAAATCCATCATCCCTTTGTGATTAAAAACCTCAGTAAAATCAGCATAGACGGGACATACCTTAAGGTAATAAAAGCCATCTATGACAAGACCACAGCCAACATTATACTGAGTGGAAAAAGTTGAAAGCATTCTTCCTGAGAACTGAAACAAGAAAAGGATGCCCACTTTCACCACTTCTAATCAACATAATACTGGAAGTCCTAGCCAGAGCAATCAGGTCAGAAAAAGAAGTAAAAGGTATCCAAATTGGTAAAGAGGAACTCAAACTATTGCTGTTTGCTGAGATATGACTGTATACCTAGAAAATCATAAAGAATCGTCATCAAAAAAAAAAAACCTCCTAGAACTGGTAAACAAGTTCAGTAAAGTTTCAGGATATAAAATTAATGTACAGAAATTAGTAGCTCTGCTATACACCAAGAGCAACAAAAGCTGAGAATCAAATCAAGAACACAACAAATTTTACAACAGCTGCAAAAATAAAAATAAAATACTTAGAAATATACCTAACCAAGGACTTTCCTTGAAAGATCTATACAAGAAAAAGTAAAAAAACACTGCTGAAAGAAATCATAGATGACACAAACAAATGCAAACACATCCCATGCTCACGGAAGAGTAGAATCGATATTGCAAAAATGATATTGCCAAAAGCAGTCTACAAATTCAATCCAATTCCCGTCAAATTACCACTATCATCCTTTACAAAACTAGAAAAAACAATCCTAAAACTCATATGGAAACAAAACAGAGCCCACATAGCCAAAGCAAGACTAAGCAAAAAGAACAAATCTGGAAACATTACATTACCCAACTTCAAATTATATTATGAGGCCATAGTCACCAAAACAGCATGGTAGTGGTATAAAAATAGGCACATAGACCAATAGAGAACCCAGAAATAAAGCCAAATACTTACAGCCAACTGATCTTCAACAAAGCAAACAAAAACATAAAGTGGGAAAAGAACACCCTATTCAACAAATGGTGTTGGGATAATTGGCAAGCCACATGTAGGAGAATGAAACTAGATCCTCATCTCTCACCCATTACAAAAATCAACTCAAGATGGATAATAGGCCTAAATCAAAGACCTGAAACTGTAAAAATTCTACAAGATAACACTGGAAAAACGCTTCTAGACATTGGCTTAGGTAAAGACTTTATGACCAAGAACTCAAAAGCAAATGCAACAAAAACAAAGATAAATAGATTGGACTTAATTAAAATAAAAAACTTCTGCACAGCAAAATAACTAATCAGTAGAGTTATCAGACAACCCACAGAGTGGGAAAAAATCTTCACAATCTGTATGTCTGTCCACTAATATCCAGAATCTACAAGGAACTCAAACAAATCAGCAAGAAAAAACAATCCCATCAAAAAGTGGCCTAAAGACATGAATACACAATTCTCAAAAGAAGATATACAAATGGCTAACAAGCATATGGAAAAATGCTCAGCCTCACTAATTATCAGGGAAATGCATATCAAAACCACAATGGGATACCACTTTGCTCCTGCAAGAATGGCCGTAATCAAAAAAATTTTAAAAAACAGGCATTGGCATGGATATGGTGAAAGGGAACACTTTTACACTGTTGGTGGGAATGTAAACTAGTACAACCATTATGGAAAACAGTGTGGAGATTCCTTAAAGAACTAAAAATAGATCTACTGTTTGATCCAGCGGTGCCATTACTAGGTATCTACCTAGAGGAAAAGAAGTCATTATATGAGAAAAATACTGGCACATGCATGTTTATAGCAGCACAATTTACAATCACAAAAATATTGAACCAGCCCAAATGCCCATCAATCAATGAGTGGATAAAGAAAATGTTATATATATATAAATATATATAATATATAAATATATATAATATATATGAATATATATAATATATAAATATATATAATATATATGAATATATATAATATATAAATATATATAATATATATGAATATATATAATATATAAATATATATAATATATATGAATATATATTATATATAAATATATATATGATGGAATACTACTCAGCCATAAAAAGGGATGAAATAATGACATTCACAGCAACCTGGATGGAATGGGAGACTATTATTCCAAGTGAAGTAACTCAGGAATGGGGAAACAAACATCGTATGTTGTCACTCACAAGTGGGAGCTAAGCTGTGTACACTGTGTGGCATTATTCCTCTCTTTGGAACTAAGACCTCTAGGGCAGCAGAGAGTAATGTCGTGGGAACAGGAAATGAAAATTTTGCTAGTGGATCACTAGGGGGATGCCATGTGGTGCCACTTCCACTTCCACCACTTGATTTCTGGCTCCATGAATTCTGGCTATGGGAGAAACAGTACCAGATATTAGATGGTGCTTTTGAGAATATAGGCCTTCTGGAGAACTTTGCCCAAGCCCTGCAAAGTATTGTCACCTAGTTGGCATTGTAATTATGACTTCAAAAGGCCATTCCACTGTTCTATCAATCTAGCTGCTTCAGGATGATGGGGAACGTGGTAAGACCAGTGAATTCCATGAGCATAAACCCACTGCCACACTTCTTTAGGTGTAAAGCGAGTGCCTTGGTCAGAGGCAATGCTGTGTGGAATACCATGACGGTGGATAAGGCATTCTGTGAGTCCATGGATGGTAGTCTTGGCAGAAGCATTGCATGCAGGATAGGCAAACCCATATCCAGAGTAAGTGTCTATTCCAATGAGGACTAACCCCTGCCATTTCCATGATGGAAGAAGTTCAATATAATCAACCTGTCGCCAGGTAGCTGGCTGATCACCCTGAGAAATGGTACCATATCAAGGGCTCAGTGTTGGTCTCCGCTGCTGGCAAATTGGGTGCTCAGCAGTGGTCATAGCCAGCTCAGCCTTTGTGAGTGAAAATCCATGTTGCTGAGCCCATGCATAACCTCCATCCCTGCCACAATGGCCACTTTGTTCATGGGCCCATTGGGTGATGAGAGGGGTGGCTGGGGAGAGAGGCTGAGTGGTGTCCACAGAACAGGTCATCATATCCACTTGATTATTAACCTCCTCCTCCTCTGAGGTCACCCGTTCGTGAGCACTCACATGGGACACAAATATTATCACAATTTTTGGCCACTTAGAGATGTCCATCCACATATCTCTTCCCTAAATTTCTTTGTCACCACTTTTTCCAGTCATGCTTATTCCAAGTCTCTGACCATCCAGCCAAACCACTGGCTACAGCCCACACATCAGTATATAATTGCACATCTGGCCATTTCTCCTTCCATGCAAAGTGCACAACCAGGTGTACTGCACTGCTTGAAGTTCTGCTTCAGGGAAAATTTCCCTTCACCGCTGTCCTTCAGGGATGTTCTAGGAAGGGGCTGTAGTGCCGCAGCTGTCCACTTTTGGGTGGTGCCTGCATATTGTGCAGAACCATCTGCAAACAAGACCCTAGTCTTCTCTTCCTCTGCAACTGATCATAGGAAACTCCCTATGAGGCCACTGATGCAAGCTGAGGGAGAGAAGGCAGGGTGTCAGGAGTGGATACCATGAGCCTATGAGCCACTTCCTCATGTAACTTACTTGTGCCTTCAGGACCTGCTCAAGCCCAATCATGTATATACCACTTCCAATTGATGATGGAATGCTGCTGTGCATGACCCACTTAATGGCTAAATGAGTCATAGAGAACCCAGTTTATAATGGACAGTTCAGTTTGCATGGTGACTTGATGACCCATACTCAAACATTCAGTTTCCACCAAAGCCCTGTCACAGGCCAAGAGTTGCCTCTCAAAAAGAGAGTAGTTTTCTGCAGAAAATGCCAGGGCCTTGCTCCAAAATCCTAGAGGACTCTACTGTGATTCACCTATGGGATCCTGCCAAAGGCTCCAAACAGCATCCTTATCTGCCACTGCCATCTCAAGCACCATTGGATCTGCTGGGTCATAAGGCCCAAGTGGCAGAGAGGCTTGCACAGTAATCTGGACCTGTTGTAAAGCCTTCTCCTATTCTGGACCCCACTAAAAACTGGCGGCCTTTCAGGTCACTCGATAAATGGGCAAGAGTAACAAACCCAAATGAGGAATGTGTTGCCTCCAAAATCCAAATAGGCCCACTAGGTGTTGTGCCTCTTGGTTGCAGGAGGAGCCAAATGCAGCAACTTATCCTTTACCTTAGAAGGAATATTTCCACAGGCCCCACACCAGTGGACACCTAGAAATTTTACTGAGGTAGAAGTTCCCTGAATTTTAGTCAGATTTATTTCTCATCCTCTGGCATGAGAATGTCTCACCAATACATCCTGTGTGTTTGCTGCTTCTCACTCACTGGATCCAATCAGCATAATGTTATCATTGTAATGTACCAGTGTGATATTTTGCAGAAGCAAAAAGTGATGAAGGTCTCTCCGAATAAGATTATGACACAAAGCTGGCGAGTTGATATATCCCCGAGGTAGGACAGTAGAGGTATATTGCTGGCCTTGCCAGCTGAAGGCAAATTGCTTCGGTGGGTCTTATGGACAGTAATAGAGAAAAAAGGCATTTGCCAAGTCAATGGATGCATACCAGGTACCAGGAGATGTGTTAATTTGCTCAAGCAATGAAACCACATCTGGTACAGCAGCTGCAATTGGAGTCACCACTTGGTTAAGCTTACAATAATTCAGCGTCAATCTCCAAGAACCATCTGTCTTCTCTGCATAGGCCAAATGGGAGAGTTGAACAGGGATATGGTGGGAATCATTACCCCTGTGTCTTTCAAGTCCTTGCTGGTGGCGCTAATCTTCACAATCCCTCCAGGGATGCGATATTGTTTGATTTACTATTTTTCTAGGTAGAGGCAGCTCTAACGGCTTCCATTTGGCCTTTCTCACCATAAAAACTCTCACACTACCAGTCAGGGAGCCAATGTGGGGGTTCTGCCAGCTGCTAAGTATGTAAGCTGTGAGGATGTAAAGGCATAAGAATGACACAGTGAACTTTGGGGACTTGGGAGAAAGGGTAGGAGAAGGGTGAGGGATCAAAGACTACACATTGGATACAGTGTACAATGCTTGAGTGATGGGTACACCCAAATCTCAGAAATCACTACTAAAGAACTTATTTATGTGACCAAACACCACCTGTTTCCCCAAAACTTATCAAAATAGAAAAAAATAAAAAAAGATTTAAGTAGAAATCAACAACAAAAGTTAGAGTAACAATATAACTTGGCTTCTATTTCTTACTACCTTTAGTCTAATTGTTTCTAAGGCAGATAGACAAGAGCAATGCATGTTTGCTGTCTGAAAGTTATTTTCAAGATGTAATATGTGTTCTAAGGTAACTACAGGGCTGTTTGACCTTATAGGTTCAGGTCCTTAAGTTAACAACATTCTGGCCATAAACAAAGAAAACTCAAGTGAGAAAAAACAGAGGCTATGTATTCAGAGTTTGCTATATTATGGCAGTCAGCCACCATCACTTGAATTTGATGTAAATTCAAAGTCAGGCCAGGGAGTGGGGAAGCTTTATAATAAAAAACAGGAAGTATTCAGGAATGCAGTGTGGAGATAGTTAACATTGGGGAAGCTGATGGTAGGTGCAGTGGAAGTGGGCACCTTTTGTGATTGGTTAGAGGAGCATATTTGGCTTTCTCTGATTGGCTCTGAGTTGGGAAAGGAAGCAAACATTAGGAAAGCTGGCAGTTATTGACCAAGTCCTTACTGTTTTGGACTAGTTGCTTTAGAACTGGTAGGTCAGAATTCTATTGTCAAATAGGCTGGCCATTGTCCTTTTGTATATTCGTCCTCTCAACATTTAATATGCTAGATCAATAAATGTATATTTAAATGTGCACCATGTATTATCTGAGTCTCCATGGCACACTGTTATGAATTTCTGAAAGAGGAAGGAAAATACTGAAATGTCAGTTCAATAAATAATCCTGAAAAGGAATTATACAACAATTATTTTGACAACAACAGTGTTGAATGCCTCCTAGGGAGGAAATTTTAAAATTTTAATGTGGGAAAAGAGGCAAAAAAGGTTAGGAGTTTATGATTCTTCAATTCAAAAATGTGCTTTAACACTGAGACAGAGAGGAGTCTTTGATTTTGGGACTGGAGACTGAGGACACTTCAAAAGCCTAAATCAATCAATGTCAATAGAATAAAGGAATGTCAGGCAAGGGGCCATATATCCCTTTTAACATGTTTCTGATTATACACACCAGGGGTTAAAAGCTCCCATCTAGGTTTCTGAAATGTGCTTTGTGAGATCAGGTGAGAGCATAAAGCCAGTGTTGTGAAATATTCTTTACTAAATTTTTCTCAGTCTCCTTATGCCAGGATAAGCAG
The DNA here is from genome assembly GCF_000001405.40 of Homo sapiens. Classification (NCBI taxonomy): domain Eukaryota; kingdom Metazoa; phylum Chordata; class Mammalia; order Primates; family Hominidae; genus Homo; species Homo sapiens. Next base: position 38,427,406 of record NC_000012.12, read on the forward strand.
AAATCTGATGTAAAACTTTCCTTCTACAAAGACAAATGGTTTTTTGTTGTAGTTTTGCTTTTGTAAGTGAAATCTACTCTCATCCCTATACACACAACCCAACATATACACACATACCTCCCATTAACAGAGAAAACAAAAGTAGGGATTCTGCCTCTGTGGTTCCTGAGTTCTTTCCTGCCTGTTTTGAGTTCTGCTGGGCACAGTGACTATTTCTGAGTTTACTTTCAGAAAGCCATTATTACCTCACGCTCTCCTGAACTGAAACTATTGTTCCTAATTACTACAACATGTGAGCCACAAAGAAACTATTCTATAAGCAAGTGTTTCACAAAATGACAAGCTAAAAAAAAAAAAAAAAAAAAAAAGAGGTGCTTGATACTGGTATGAGAATACAGTGGTTCTGTTAGAAAACAGCTATTTTTTTTTTCTTTTTGGAAAACTTTTCATTTGTAATACACAGGCAGTTCTCCGAAATCCTCATAATAGAGGGGAGAGAGTGAATGAATAATGGAGTATAGTACAAAATACAAGTCATTTGTGGTTAGCTTTGGAATTGGGTTATATAATTTTCATAGCTTAGCAACTTTCTGGTATTTCGCTTATGCTGATACACAAATTCGTTTAAATTTCTTGGTCATATACCAAGGACAATAGAGAGGAAAGAGCAGAAAGATATCTTCTGGGTACCAGGGAGAATCCTAAAAGGGATAAAAATGGACACCAACCTCTTTGTATCTTTCTTCTTTTACTCCCAACATGAATTTTCCCTCTATTGTATTCAAATTGTCCTTCAAACATGTCTTAGTTCTCCCAACCTTGCCCTATGCCTTTGTTATGCTCTTCTTCTTTGCAGGTTCAACTCAAAATCCATCTCTTCTGTGAAATACTCTCTTATGATCACAGCCTCTTTTGAGCTTCTCTGTCATCTCAGTTGTAAAATGGAGTGTTTTTTAAAGGTTATGCCTCTATCTTTTTCATGAGTTTTTAAATTATTTAACTACAGGGATAGTTTTCATGTTCAGGATTGTATTCTCAGTGCTTTACACATTACTCCAAAAATGTTTTTAAAATGTGTTGTTTGATATTCCCCCTTGGAAAAACAACATTTAATAGCATTTAAATATTTGCTGCTAATAATGACATAGGCATGAAAAGGGGAAGCCTCAAACCTTTATTAAATGTCAAGTTGTGTGAAGTGCTTTGCTGGGCCCTAAACAAATGGAATTTCACATAAATTACAGAAACTTTTAACTTTATCTGATTATCTTTTTTATCCATGGAGCTCTTCATAATTTCTTAATTTTTTTTTTTTTTTTAACATGCGGCTTGCTGTTCTGTTCTCCAATACAAACAGAATGAATTTGGAGAGCCAGGTAAACCTAAGCGCAAATCTTGACTATGTCCCTTCTTAATGCAGCAATACGTCTTTGTGATTCATTGTCTCCTTCATAAAAAGAGAACTAATAAATTCTGTCTCAGAGGGTGGGTATTAATATAAAACACCTAAAGGGGGGAGTAATAATTAAACATAATTATTAAATGGCACTAAAAATGTCTGCTAATGTTACTATTGTTATTATTTGTACAGAGCCTTCTTAAATAGTCTCCAAATTATCTCCCTGAAATCTCCTCACTGAATCTTCTTACTGAAAAGTTATTTAGACTGAAGAATGAAATTATTAAATCCTTAGTTCCAGTCCTAGATCAGGAACACCTTTGAAGGTAATGTGGACCTGAAATAGTCCATGTTAAATAACATGGATCTGAAACCCGGTCCTACCCATAGGACTGTGAGTATAAAGCATAAAGCTGTGTATAGCTCCCAGATGGATGCAGAGTTTCTTCCAATGCAATATAGATCTTGTGATTAAGGTACAATTGTATTCAGTTCATTAATGCTTTCAGCAATTTTAATATTGTCTACATTTAAGTTGTCTTAAAAGTACAGAGAGATGAGAAAACACTGTATTAAGTGAGCTAGAAGGTTTTTCTGAAGGAAATGCATACTTTCATGTTCTTGTTTTGTGATAAGAAATACAAAGATTCATAAAATCTGGACCCTACTCTTAAAGAGCTCTTCCTTTATTCTGACATTGCTTGAAGAGTGGCATAAAATAATTTGGAGAGGGAATCTTTGTAGTGATAATATTGTTATAGCTTCAGAGAAGGTTTGAGATACTAAAAGAAGTGTTTGGAAGAGACAATTAGAAGAGATAAGTTGCCATATGCAATAGGATAAGAAAAGAGAAGCAGCCTAGGAAAGGGCTTTTAGTACAACTTGCCCTCAAGTCGGCTTTACAAAACCAAGTTTGGAATTGCATTTCAAAAACAACAACAAAAAGAAAAGTGCTATAGACATACATTGAGTGTTATGGAAAACTCAGTAAGATATAATATTCAATGCAAAATGAATTATTTTACAATGATGGACAGAATCAATGATATAACCCTACTGATCCTACCTGTATATAAAAACTGATATAAATATAAATATATATGTGTGTATTGTTTTCTTAGAAGGGAATACATATCATTCCTTAATGTAGAAAGAGGACTAATGTTCAGATTGGGTGAGTTATTATCATTGTTGGAAGATAACAGATTTCTTCTTCATACAAAGCCATCAGTAATTTGAGAAACAAAATAATAATGAAGGGAAAAAAATCCCACTTTCACATAGATAAAAGTCCATATGGGGGAAGTTGTTGAATATGAGGCTCAAATACATCTGCTAAGTGAATCTCAGAACCAGCTTACTCACAGGTAAATCCCATCCCCATTCCAGCCCCTTTCCACCTGCAGGAGGAATCACCCTGGGAACCTGTGAACAGCCTGTTCCTTGAAGATGGAAAGACCCAAAGAGGAAAGAGGAGGGTAGAATTAAGCTAAACATGCCATTCATTCCAGCCATATTTATCCATACAGACCACTTTGTCTTTTCAAGAGCAGAACGAGTAAAGAAGAAAATAGAATCAGTGTTGCCCCTAGAGGAAAATCTCTTCTCATGTAGCCAAGTATAAGGAAAAGTTCCTCTCTAACTGTCTTTTGATAGCTATCTGTAACATTTTAATTTTTTAGCAAGTGCAGATTTTACTTTTATTATAAAGTAGTGGAATATTATTTAAAGTCTATTCTTACTCTGAAATTTTAAAACCTTGAATAACAATTAGAACTTTCTGGAAATGGAAGAAACTGCCTTATGATTTCTTCTTTCATTTAACTACTATAGGCCACAAATGACTTCAGTTATTGAAGATACAGGGCTCCCTGGCCATTCTGAGTAGATTCCATTGTGTGGGGAGAATGAAGGCAGAGAAGCAAAAATTGAGTTTCCCATCATTAGAGCTGTTATAGAACCAGAAATCTAATGACCCATAAATGGAAGATTTGGGTAGAGTAAGATATCCAACCTGAAAATCATCTACAATCTGAGGCCTGGATGAAAGGGAAGCCTATAATGGCACATGTAGCCTGGGCTGGGAGGCAGAAGGTGATGGGTTACAGACTAAGTGCGCTGAAGAAATAGAGGCGGTGTACCCACTGCAGCAGTTATTCCTACTAGGAGTATAGTTGCTGAATCATAATGGTAGAAATATATGCATCTGTGGTAATGAAACATGTTTAGAAAGCTGATTTATATTTAAAATGTTAATAAATTCAGTTTAATTAAGGGTAGAATTGGAGGAGCCTTGTGGATTCCCATCACTTACTGAGAGTTTCTACCACTGGCCAGAGACTATGCTTAAACACTCTCAGATCCAAAATGAATAGGCAGAATTGCTGCCCACAGAAGCACATAATCTCTTGGGAGAAAACATAATTATATGAATAACCATGATACAACAATGTTTTTAATAACTCAATTTAAGTTGTATTGCAAACACTTGTTTACATAGTGGCCTTCCCTAATAAGTTGAGACCTCTTTGAGGGAGGATCCCTTCATACTCCCAGTGCTGGCAAGAGTTTGGCAGGCAGGAGGTAGTCAATGTTTATTGAATAAATGGTCCAATGATTAACGAGACTTGAAATAAGGAGTTCCATTCAGAAAAAAAGGATAATATGTGGGATAGTGTGAAAGAGCAAAGGCTTAAATTAGTTGGGAGAATTTGATCTAGCTCTTGGAAAAATGATGAATTTTCTGACAGAGATCCATAGGAAAATGAAATGCAATCAAAACATTTGTGAGTATTGGACCTGACCTCTTTTGGTGCTGTAGTTCACTATTAATAATGCTGAAATGACAGCAAGGGAGATGGCAAACACAATGAAAAGGACAGAAAATATCAGTGACAAATATGCCCTCAGCCTCCCTACAGAGAATGTGAGAAAAATATGTTTAAGCAGTTCTATGGCATGAGAAAATAACATGAGGTTATAAATCTTAAAAGTTTGGGTGCGATTGTAAAAGAAAAAGTAAATCAAAACACAATATTTTGTGTAAATAAAAATGGTATTTTTCTTAATTTTGCAAAAAAGTGTAAGTGGTAATAAAGTATAGATAATGAATATATGAGCATTGCAGTCATAAATCTGATGTAGAAAATGACTCCTTAAGGGTTAAATTTGTGATTTGGAGTACTAGAAAAAGTAAAACCTGCAGAATACAGAGGAAATATCTGCTAATAGTAAAGAGAGGAAAAAGAAAGAAAAAGAAATAATAAGTTGAGGATACCTTATGGAATAACGAAGATCATGAGTTCCAGATGTGTGCTATATTGTTTCCATGGGCCAAGAATAAGGGATTTTTGTATTGACTTAGAAATTCTAACAATTTCTCCTGGGTTTGCTCCTGAAAAGGAAATAGAGGAAATTAGATGAACAGAAAACATTTCAGTATTTGTCTGTTCATTTATTTAGGTTTTAAGAAAAATCTAGGCTACAATGAAAAAAAAGTCCAAATAACAAAGGAAGTTTTAGCACCCTGAGTCAATATTCATGTGGTCAATTTATATGAAATACTTTGGTTTTTGCTTTTTGACCTCCAGAATTCCAGTAATTTTTTATGTCTCTTATTTCAGCAGCCCAAATCTATGGATGTATCATTAAGTGTCACTTTCTAAAATCTTAAACTGTAATTCAGATTCTGATCACCTATTTCTCTTTCCCTGGAAATCCTCCTTCTTCATTCTTCCCATAGCTATTTCTCTACCTCATGAAATTCTCCAACACTTAGTCACCCCACTGTCTTCTTGTCCACCTCTTCTTCATATCTTGACTTCCATTTCTTCATCTAAACTACGCTATGTGATAGGGGGCTCATCTGTCTTTGAATTTGGTAAAAATGACAACTCTGATTTAGTTTAATGTTACATTCACTTCAGTTCAAGTAGACCAGAAACAACAGACTCTTCACCAGATAAGAATGTAAGGTGACTGAATGGCCACAGCTTCCTAGAACATTTTTGAATCCTCTTGAGTTGCATCTGAAGTTAGGAAGCTTGCTAGGATTGAGGAACCCTCCAAGTCAAGGAACAAAGAATCCATAACTTTTTCCCTTTCATATTATTATGCTAGAGATGGGGTCACTTGGCACCCAAGTGTCTGCTTAATACAATCTAAGGAAAGCTTTTTGCTGTGGTGCTTTCCCTTACTTTGTTTTTCTGCTTGTTTTTAGCCTGTATCATATATTTCAGTATTTTGCAAATTCTGAATGCCTTCTATTACTTGTCTTTTGTGCTAGCTCATTCCTCAGTAGCACGTTTTCTAAATCAGCTGGGCCACAGTGCTATTTGTTAATTTTTGAATAGATCCTAATCCCCTCCTCACTTTCTCAATACGGCTATTCCAAAACATTTATAACCCTTAAAAGCTCCTCACCATATCCTCATCCCTCTCTTTGTTAGAAAATGACTTTGTCTTCTGGTCCTTCAGGAAAATTAACATTATCAGGTTAGATTTACTCAAATTCCTAGCCATATATTTAGAAAGGAATCTGTACCAGAAGGAAACCTGTGCTCTTTCTTGTTTGTTAAAAATCATGCTGTGGGCTGGGTGCTGTGGTACACACCTAGAATCCCAGGACTTTGGGAGGCCAAGGTTGGGTGATGACTCAAGGTAAGGAGTTTGAGACCAGCCTGGCCAACATGGTGAAACCCTGTCTCTACTAAAAATATAAAAATTAGCTGGGCATGGTGGCACGCACCTGTAATTCCAGCTACTGGGGAGGATGAGGCATGAGAATCGCTTGAGCCCAAGAGTTTGAGGTTGTAGTGAGCCACGATCACACCACCGCTCTCCAGCCTGGACGACAGAGCAAGACCCTGTCTCAAAAAAAAAAAATACGCTGTGGGGTCTAACATTTTCCTTACTTTAGATTCTTTCTCCATTCACTATTTCCTTGCCTTTATTTTTAGGCTGTCTCTCCAATGGTCTCTTCCCTATAGTCAATAACATGTTCAAGCCCCTCTCAGATTAGGATTCTATCTTTCTCTTTCATAGTCAAACTTAAAAGAATAGTTTCCATGAGCTAGCTCCACTTTTGTGATATGTCTGTTTACCCATAAAATCCATTCAGTTAGGCTTTTACGTCACGACTCTATGGTAGTTCTTCTGGCAAGAATCAGTCCTCATTTTATTTAACCACTCTGCAGCATTAAGCACCAGTAAACACTATCTTTTCCTGGAAAATCTCAATTTGCTGTTATTCTCTGCTTCTACCCTTTTTTGATTCTGCCTCAATCTCTCAGACCATTCCTTTCAGTCTTCTTGTTATATTTCTTCTCTCTACTCAATAAGTTATGGGATGCCCCATTGTTTTCTCCTTGGTTCTCTTCTCTCCAACGCACAAATGTATGTGCCATCATTCACTCTTTGTGAGAGGACCTCACACTTTGGATTTAGTGTTTATATTCTTAATAAATTTGTCAGCCAGAAGTGTGGCTCATGCCCATAATTCCGGTACTTTGGGAGGCCAAGGTGGGAGGATTGCTTGAATGCAGGAGTTTGAGACTATCCTGGTCAATATAGTGAGACCATGTCTCTATAAAAAAATAACAATAATAATTAGTCACATATGGTGGTGCACTCCTATAGTCCCAGCTACTCAGAAGGCTGAGACAGGAGGATCACTTGAGTCTGGGAGGTCAAGGCTGCAGGCTGTAGTGAAATACGACCATGCCACTACACTCCAGCCTGGTGAAACAGTGACACCTTGTCTCAAAAATAAAATAAAATAATAAATTTGTTATTAAATTTCTTGTTTTGTAAGTGAAGTTATAGAGTCTTACCCTTTATCTCTAGCTTTATCTCTAGACCAAATATTCCCTGTCATGCCCTTGATTTGATCTTGAAATAATTTCCTATGTGTAATATTATTTGCCATCTGGAGAATCTTCAAAATTATCAAATCCTGGTTCCTTGTTAACAAGCCACACTTTAGCTTATCTCTCTCCTTTCAAAATTTACCGTACAGAGCAAGAAGAAATCTGGTACACCTTCACCTCTCTGCTTGGAAATAATCCTTAGCAAAAGCACTTAGGTACATTTTCTACTTTCCACATTACCACAGGAAAAAAATGTCATTAAACTTTCCACCACTGGTTAGCAGGACTCCCTTTCTAACAGTATCTTTCCAATAATGTTCTTCTCACTTTCTTTAACCCATTATTGGCAGCCTCCTCAAAAGCCATCAGATTTCTACTCACAAGCTTTTCAATAGTCTCTGGGGTTTCACAAACATTTTCCCCAAAGTCCTGCTAGCTTATACCTATCACCTCATTGTAAAGTCATTCCAACATTGTAGGTTCTGTTATGGCAGCACTCTTTCCTAGTGCCAATATCTGTATTAGTTAGCTATTACTGCATAACCACTTACTTCCAAAGTTTAGCAGCTTAAAAAATGCATTTTCTCATAGTTTTTGTGGGTCAGAAATCTGGTAGTGCCTTAGTTTGGTGGCTCTGACTCAGTTCTTATAAGATTGTAATAAAAATATCAATTTGAGCTGCAGTAAACTGAAAGTTCATCCAGTGCTGGAGGGTCTGCTTCCAATATGGTTTACTCATGTGACATTATGCTTAGCAAAAAAACCTCAGTTTCTTGCTGGCTAGGGCAAGAAGCCTTAGTTCCTTGACACATGAACCTCTCCATAGGGCTGCTTGAGTATTCTCATGACATGGCGGAGGCTTTTCTCAGAGAAAACGTTCAAGAGAACAGAAATGGAAGACACCACATGCTTTCTATGTTCTAATTTCAGAGTCACATATTGTCATATCTGCTGACATTCTCAATTCATTAGAAGTGAGTTATTAAGTACAGTCTGCATTCAAGGGAAGAGAAATGTTCTGCTTTTTGAAGGGAAGAATATCAAATAATTTGTGGCCATATTTTAAAATTGCCACATATATATATTTACCTCAGTATCTATTCCTATGTCTATCTGTCTATGTATCAATCTATCAATCCATCTATCTATCTATCTATCTATCTATCTATCTATCTATCAGTCTTAAAAACTATGAGTTTATACTAAAATCTCAAATTCCAATTTAAGAGCATAGGATTAATTTTAGCTTTTCTTTCTTTTTGTAATTTCAATATCCAGTACTTAGAAAATTTTTATATATTATTCACAATATGTTTTTTCTCAATTCTAGAATACATGTAAACCTATTTTAAGATTGCTAACTCATGTTCCTGTGAAAAGCCAATGTACTAACTGGAGTGCAATATTTGTGTTCAGTTCTCTTTGTCTTTAGCCTTACAGTATGTAGTCAAAGCAAAGTTTTCCAAATGTATTTAAGTTAATATTTTTCTAGGACAACTTACTGTGTGTTGATGTTATTCATTTTCAGTATAGTTAGGTTCATGTGTGTATTAGTCAATTTTCATGTTACTGATAAAGGCATACTCGAGACTGGGTAATTTATTAAAAAAAAAAAGAGGTTTAATGGACTCACAGCTCCATGTGGCTGGGGAGCCCTCACAATCATGGCGGAAGGAAAAAGGCACATCTTACACAGCAGCAGACAAAGAAAGAATGACAACCAAGTGAAAGGGGTTTCTTCTTATAAAACCATCAGATCTCATGAGACTTATTCACTACCACAAGAACAGTATGGGGAAAACCATCCAAATGATTCAATTATCTCCCACTGGGTCCCTCCGCAACACATGGAAATTATGGGAGCTACAGTTCAAGGTAGATTTGGGTGGGGAAAGAGTCAAACCATATCATTCCACCCCTGGTTCCTCCTAGATCTCATTTCCTCACATTTCAAAACCAATCATGCCTTCCCAACAGTCCCCCAAAGTCTTAACTCATTTTAGCATTAACTCAAAAGTCCACAGTCCAAAGTCTTATCCAAGACAAAGCAAGTCTCTTCTGCCTATGAGCCTGTAAAATCAAAAGCAAGTTAGTTACTTCCTAGGTACAGTGAGGACACAGGCATTGGATAAATACACTCATTCCAAATGGGAGACTTGGGCCAAAACCAGGAGGCTAAAGGCCCCATGCAAGTCTGAAATCCAGTGGGGCAGTCAAATCTTAAAGCTCCAAAATGATCTCCTTTGACTCCATGTTTCACATCCAAGTGACACTGATGTAAGGGGTGGGTTCCCACGGTCCTGGGCAACTCTGCCCTATGGCTTTACAGGGTACAGCCTCCCTCCTGGCTGCCTTCACTGGCTGGTGTTGATGTCTGTGGCTTTTCCAGGTACATGGTGCAAGCTGTCAGTGGATCTGCCATCTGGGGTCTGGAGGATGGTGACCCTCTTCCCACAGCTCCACTAGGTTCTATCCCAGTAGGGACTCTGTGTGTGGGCTCCAACTCCACATTTTTCTTCTGAACTGCCCTAGCAGAGGTTCTCCATGAGGGCCCTGCCCTTGCAGCAAACTTCTGCCTGGACATCCAGGCATTTCCATACATCCTCTGAGATCTAGGCAGAGGTTCTCAAACCTCAATTCTTAACTTCTGTGCACCCTTCAGATTCAATACCATGTGGAACCTGTCAAGGCTTGGCACATGCACCCCCTGAAGCCACAGCCAAGCTGTACCTTGTCCCCTTTTAGCCATGGCTAGAGCATCTGGGACACAGGGCACCAAGTCCCTAGGCTGCAGACAGCACGAGGGCCCTGGGCCCCAGCTCACAAAATCATTTTTTTCTCCTAGGCCTCTGGGCCTGTGATGGGAGGGGCTGCCACAAAGTCTCTGACATGCCCTGAAGACATTTTCCTCATTGTCTTGGTGATTAACATTTGGCTCCTCATTACTTATGTGAATTTCTGCAGCTGACTTGAATTTCTCCTTAGAAAATGGGTTTTTGTTTTCTATCACATCACCAGGCTGCATGTTTTCCAAACTTTTACACTCTGTTTCCCTTTTAAAACTGAATGCTTTTAATAGCATCCAAATCACATCTTTAATGCTTTGCTGCTTAGAAATTTCTTCTGCCGGATACCCTAAATCATTCCCCTCAAGTTCAAAGTTCCACAAATCTCCAGAGAAGAGGCAAAATGCTGCCAGTCTCTTTGCTAAAACATAGCAAGTGTAACCTTTACTCTAGTTCCCAACAAGTTTCTCATGTCCGTCTGAGACCACCTCAGTCTAGATTTCATTGTCTATATCATTATCAGCATTTCAGCCAAAGCCACTCAACAAGTCTCTAGGAAGTTCCAAACTTTCCCACATTTTCCTGTCTTCTTCTGAGCCCTCCAAACTGTTCCAACCTCTCTGTTACCCAGTTCCAAAATTGCTTCCACATTTTCGGGTTTCTTTACAGCAGCACCCCACTCTACCAGCACCAATTTACTGTATTAGCTTATGTCCATGCTGCTGATAAAGATGTACCCAAGACTGGGTAATTTATAAAGAAAAAGAGGGTTAATGGATTCAGAGTTCCATGTGGCTGAAGAAGCCTCACAATCATAGTGGAAGGTGAAAGGCATATCTTACATGGCAGCAGGCAAAGAGAGAATGACAACCAAGTGAAAGGGGTTTCCCCTTATAAAACCATCAGATCTGGTGAGACTTATTCACTACCACAAGAACAGTATGGGGAAAACCACCCCCATGATTCAATTATCACCCACTGGGTCCCTCCCACAACATGTGGGAATTATGGGAGCTACAATCCAAGATGAGATTTGGGTGGTAACACAGCCAAACCATATCAATGCATTACTGTTTTTATTTCATTTTGGTTGGCTCCCACATTTTCAATGATGATGATGATTGTTACTTTGGGGAGTAAGTGAACTATCATCATAATTCTAAAATTCAGAACTATACAAAAAGGTGAATGCAGAGCACATCTCCTTGAGCCCCTTTAACTTGTTCCTATGTCATTGTTCTTTTCACCCAATTCCTACCCACCAATCTCAATAGTTCTTAGTTTTTTTCTGTATTTCTTTCTGCATAGGTTAGCAGATACATGTATATTTGTATTTCTTATTTCTTACATAAGTGTAGCATAACAATTTGCACTTTCCTTTTCAACTTAAAAATGAAGCATGTAAATCACTCCTCATGAATTCGTAGGGATATTCCTCATTTTTGTTTTACAACTGCATAATATTCCATTTTGGAATGTACCATAATTTTTGGAATCACTTTTGTATTTCAGAGGTTGTTTACATTATTTTGAAATTACACACATTGCATCAACAAATACTCTTGTACATATATATATTTTTATATTGTTGGAGACATATTCTTAAAAATAAGGATGGTATGTCTAAAGCTAACTGCATATGTAGTTTTGTTTGATGTTGCCAGATTTTCCTCCAGAAGATTTGTGCCAGTGAGCATTCTCACTAGCAATGTATGAGACTGCCTTTTTCCCCAAGGTCTAAGCAACAGAATATGTTGCCATGCCATACATTTTAATTTTCAAGTTATTAATGAGAAGTCACATTTCAGTGTTGTCTCATTTGTATTTTTCTAATTTTGAGTGATTTTAAACATACTTAATGTGGCTATGGGACTTTTTTTTTTTTTTTCTGAGACGGAGTCTTGCTGTGTCGTCCAGGCTGGAGTGCAGTGGTGCCATTTCAGCTCACTGCAAGCTCTGCCTCGGCTATGGGACATTTTTATATCTTCTAATAATTATCTGTTCATGCCCTGTCCCCTTTTTTTTTAAACAAGCTTTGGTGTTTTTCAATCCTCAATTTGAAAGCATTCTTTACATACTAGGAATATTAGTAATTTTTATTTAATATAGGTTGCAAGTATTTTTTCCCAGCTTGTCAAAATAACTTTTTTAATAGTTTTGTGTCCCTGCAATTTTGAGATATTTTTGTAGTCAAATTTGTCATTTTCTTTTATTGTCTCTGGATTTTGTGTCATAGTTAGAGAGGTTTTCCCTAAATTGATATTTAAAAATAATTCACCTATGTTTTCTTCTAGTATGATTTTTTTTTAACATTTAGTTCCCTAATTCACTTGGAGTTTATTCTTGTGTGTGGTCTGAGGTATGAAGGATCTAATTTTATCTTATTCCAAATGTATAGTTGTCCCTACATCATGTATTAAAGATTCTCTCTTGTTGCAGTGATTTGAGGGAAAATTTTTGAATAACATACAATTAAGGATGTTTGGGGGAATATAAGATTGAATCATTCAGAAGGAGAATATAAACATTATAATAGTGGTTATTATTTGTTGTGCCGGGTACTGTTTAGTATACTTATACATATAATCTCACTCAATCTTTATACCATCCATAATTGTTCATCCATTTTATAGATGAATACAATGAGTCACAGAATGATGAAATAACTTTTTCAGGGTCATGAAATAAATACAAACATAACTCAGAGAAATTGCACATTTTGTTCCAGACCACTGCAATAAAGCAAATATTACAATAAAGCAAGTCACACAAATTTTTTGTTTTCCAGTGCATGTAAAAGTTATGTTTACACTATACTGTAGTCTATTAGGTGTGCAGTAGCATTATATCTAAAAAATGTATACAATTTAATTTAGAAATATTTTATTGCTAAAAATTTCTAACAAAGTGAGCACTTGCTATTCGAAAAATGGCTCCCACAGACTTGCCTGAGGCAAAGTTGCCAAAAACCTTTAGAAATATGTAAAAAGTTCAGTATCTGCAAAAGCTCAATAAAATGGGGTAGGCCTGTATGTGGTGAAGGCAGAATCTGTATTATGTTGATTTGTATTCACATTTTGTGCTTGGCACCACTGTAGTTACATTTTTTTTAGGAGCATGGTGGAAGCATGGCAAAAATTAATGCTTATCAAATTTTAATATGCAAATAAAGTCCCTGAGATCTTATAAAAATGCAAATTCTGATTCAATGCATCTGTTATGGGACCTGATATTCTGCCTTTTTAATAAACTCCCAGATTATTCTTACACTGTTCATCTATAGCATTAATGATAAGCTGCATTGTCCAAGCAGATTAGAGAAGCTAATAAAACCAAACAATGAAAGTTAATCAACCCCAAAAAGGGTTAAAAATAAAATTAGATTAAGAATATAGATATTATATGTAAATTGATTCCAAAATCTGTACAAGCCAAATTTTAAAACGAGGTGTCTCAAACTTTTAGAAAGATGTTTTGCTACTGGAAGCAGGATTGGAGGAGTGAAAATGAATGAGATTTCATTCCTATCTATAAATATATATTTTGTTGGCTTTACTGGTCATTTTTTTACTTGCAAATATATGTTTTTTGGCTGGATGCCATGGCTCACCCCTGTAATCCCAGCACTTTGGGAGGCAGAGGTGGGTGGGTCGCTTGAGCCCAGGACTTCGCAGCCAGTCTGGGCAACATGGTGAAACGCCATCTCTACAAAAAAGACAAACATTAGCCAGGTGTGGTGGTGCACACCTATGGTTCCCACTACTTGGAAGGCTGAGATGGGAGGATCACTTTATCCCAGGAGGCAGAGATTGCAGTGAGCTGAGATTGCCCCATTGCACTCTAGCCTGGGTGACAGGGTGACCCTGTCTCAAAAGAAAAAACTTGTATATGTTTTTAAAATAATTTAGCATTGTTATTTCTTAGAAGCTGGAATTTACAATGAATATAAACATAGGCTGGACATTAGGCATCTGGGGAACAAATGGTATAGTCAGAAAAGGAGATGTCAGCATTTAAGATCTTAAAGATTGAATGTGAATGATTTCAAAGTGCCACAATGTATGTAAGGATTTGATATAACATGGGGAGGAAGTTCCTGAAATTGCAAAACTCAAGAAATTTCCAGACCTAGGAACTGTAAGGTCTTCAGTATAAATGTTAAGTAGCTAATAATTAATGCAGTAAATACAAAGAATGGCCCGAAGCCAAAGGCTCAGAGAAAGGCAGAGGAATGTCATCTTTCAAATAGGTAGATACAGCTAAGGAGAACCAAGACAATGACAAAAAGGGAAAAACACATAATTTCTGTTAGTGAGAGGTAACAGCATGCTGGCAGCCCTCGCAGCCCTCGCTCACTCTCGGCGCCTCCTCTGCCTGGGCTCCCACTTTGGTGGCACTTGAGGAGCCCTTCAGCCCACTGCTGCACTGTGGGAGCCCCTTTCTGGGCTGGCCAAGGTCGGAGCCGGCTCCCTCAGCTTGCAGGGTCGTGTGGAGGGAGAGGCGCGAGCGGGAACCGGGGCTGCGCGTGGTGTTTGCGGGCCAGCTGGAGTTCTGGGTGGGCATGGGCTTGGCGGGCCCTGCACTCAGAGCCGCTGGCCCTGCAGGCCCCAGGCAATGAGGGGCTTAGCACCTGGGCCAGCAGCTGCAGAGGGTGTGCTGGGTCCCCCAGCAGTGCCGGCCCACTGGCGCTGTGCTGGATTTCTCCCCCGGCCTTAGCTGCCTCCCTGCAGGGCAGGGCTCGGGACCTGCAGCCCGTGATGCCTGAGTCTCCCTGCCCACCGCCGTGGGCTCCTGCGTGTCCTGAGTCTCCCAGACAAGCCCTGCCCCCTGCTCCACACACCCAGTCCCATCGACCGCCCAAGACTGAGGGGTGCCTGCGCACAGTGCAGGACTGGCAGGCAGCTCCACCTGCAGCCCTGGTGTGGGATCCACTGGGTGAAGCCAGCTGGGCTCCTGAGTCTGGTGGGGACATGGAGAACCTTTAGGTCTAGCTCAGGGTTTGTGAATACACGAATCAGCACTCTGTATGTAGCTCAAGGTTTGTAAACACACCAGTCAGCACCCTGTGTCTAGCTCAGGGTTTGTGAATGCACCAATTGACACTCTGTATCTAGCTACTCTGGTGGGGTCTTGGAGAACCTTTGTGTGGACACTCTGTATCTAGCTAATCTAGTGGGGACGTGGAGAACCTTTATGTCTAGCTCAGGGATTGTAAATATGCCAATCGGAACTCTGTATCTAGCTCAAGGTTTGTGGACACACCAATCAGCACCCTGTGTCTAGCTCAGGGTTTGTGAATGCACCAATCACACTCTGTATCTAGCTACTCTGGTGGGGAGGTGGAGAACCTTTGTGTCTAGCTCAGGGATTGTAAACGCACCAATCAGCACCCTATCAAAACAGACCACTCAGCTCTACCAATCAGCAGGATGTGGGTGGGGCCAAATAAGAGAATAAAAGCAGACTGCCGGCGCCAGCAGTGGCAACCTGCGGTCCTCTTGCACACTGTGGAAGCTTTGTTC
The DNA here is from genome assembly GCF_000001405.40 of Homo sapiens. Taxonomy (NCBI): domain Eukaryota; kingdom Metazoa; phylum Chordata; class Mammalia; order Primates; family Hominidae; genus Homo; species Homo sapiens. Next base: position 38,442,980 of record NC_000012.12, read on the forward strand.
TTTCGCTCTTTGCAATCAATCTTGCTGCTGCTCACTCTTTGGGTCCACACTGCCTTTATGAGCTGTAACACTCACCGGGAAGGTCTGCAGCTTCACTCCTAAAGCCAGCGAGACCACGAACCCAGCAGGAGGAACGAACAACTCCAGATGCGCAGCCTTAAGAGCTGTAACACTCACCGCTAAGGTCTGCAGCTTCACTCCTGAGCCAGCGAGACCACGAACCCCACCAGAAGGAAGAAACTCCGAACACATTCGAACATCAGAAGGAACAAACTTTGGACACGCCACCTTTAAGAACTGCAACACTCACCGCGAGGGTCCGTGGCTTCATTCTTGAAGTCAGTGAGACCAAGAACCCACCAATTCCAGACACATTACTCTCATGCATTTTTAAAAGTAAAAATATTAAACAATATCAAATTTAAAATACAAGATCTTAACATACAGCAACATTTTATAACATTAACCAATTCTTTTTAAGACATCATTTTCCAGTCTTTCTTTAAAATTTTACTTCTCAGTGCATCTCAATGGTGGTAAATTCTATTAAGCTAAATGTTTAAAAAGTCGAGAGAGAAGTATCTGATCTTACCTGTCAAGTATTGATTGTCTTGCATAAAATACTAATAGAGAAATAGTATTAATTCTTGCCAAAGGATTTTCCATACAAATATTTATAAGTATCCTTTACTATTTATGCCAATTATAAAACCACCAAATCATTAATTTACTATAATTGTAGCTATTTGACGGGTATCTATATCTAATCCCTGAGTGGTTTTATAAGTATGTGATTATGTTTTTTTGTTTTCTCCAAAATCACACAATCATTGAAACCAGTATCTACGACTTCATACAATGTCTGCACAACCAGAAGAGACAGAAGTCTTTGTTCAGTTATATGCAGCCAGCCCTAAATCATCCATGATGATTGAGGGACAATGGCATAGAAAAGTAAAATCTTTTCGCAGACAGAAAAACCCATTTTTACCTTCATTAATCCTGTTAGCCAAGATTCTAATAGGTAGCCAACACATTCCCTTGAATTTCATTTCCTTTATTACTTCATTTGCAGACACTCACTACTGAATAAATGGTAATGGTCAGAGAAGCAGCCAAAAGGCAGGAAGCAAAAGAAGAGAGAGAAGCAATGGGAGTGGAGAGCCCCCAAACTAGATAATCAGTTCCAGAATAATCATAAGTTGCAATGGTCTCATCGTTGTAAGAATGTGAATGACTATTACATCCTCATACCAGAAAAAAATGGAGGTCTGTTTTTTTCAAATATGCAAATGTGCTGAGGAAATGTCCCATCCAATTATTTTGTTTCCATTTTTTGGGCTGTAATTGAGCACACATTCTGTTTCTAAATATTTTTATTTTTTTGCAAGACTTTATATTAATACATTCTCTTCTTTCTGGGCATTTTTCCCATTCTTTTCTTTTCTAAGTTGATTATGATGGGCACATCCAATTTGTTTCAGTCCTGCCAAACCTGTTTACTGCCCAGAAAAGGTGAACTATTTAAATGTGCCTGCTCTGATTATTAAGCTTTGGGAAAGAAATGTCAACTAGAGCTTCTTTTTGTTCCCTAGCCAAATTTCCTGGTACAATGCAATGGTGTTTATGTTGAAAGTCCTGCCAATCCTCCTTAGTGCCTACAATAAGATAACAATACATAATAATGGCCACCTACTAAATACAAATATAATTTTGTGATAGGAATATAATGACCAAAATTTTGTTAATAACAAACTAATATCTAGCTAGCAAGATCAACTTTATTCTGCAAGATAGCTACTTATTGTGAAGTATTGAGAGATACTTGATCTCAATGTCCTCTTTGTTGACCAGAAGTTTAATGGCAAGAAAAGACTACATTATACTTTGTAGTGAACATTGCCATACCCCAGTACATATACATCATATACAAACTTGTCTCTCAAGTTTCATTCTAGTAAATAAGTATAATCGAGAGTCCAATCCCATTTTTTTGATGTTCGATTACTGATAGTGTGTAAGTTTCATTCTATCCTCTTCCCGGGAAGCCCTACAGCTGGCAAAGCCCCCCAGCTTCCTCCTTTTGCGCAGGCAGGAAGTTCAAACTATGCATATGAACCCTCACCTCAATCCCACCCCCAGCTCATAAAAACCCGATGCCAGTCTCCTTTCCCTGTTTTCTCAAGACATTTTTGGACCAGCTTGGGAGGCATGCCCTGCTCTGCCCAGAAAGCCTTATTGTGTGACTAATAAATCTTTTCTTACCCTCATGGTATGAGTGTAGTATCATCAATTTTGATATCTGAACCAAATTTGGGGTTGGAGATCCATTCTGTTTCTTAGAGTGATCATAAAAACAAGAAAATAAATCCTGATGATCACAGATCCTTTATGCTTTCATCCATGATTCATGAATTAAATAATTTACTTTGCAAATATTTAAGGTGACTAAACAAAACACTATTCCAGGAAATGAGGTATAAAGATAAAAAATATTTAGTTTCAGCAACTAGGAAACAACACATATATGCAAATTGGACCTAAACCTGGGAATATTTGTTAACAATTGGATGTACGATAATATTCTGATCATCATGCCATTGCAGATCCCACATTTCAGTGTAGCTTAGCCTCCCTCATGGTTTACTACTTCTATTCAGTAGTAAACTGCACAATTGGGAAGGATATGGAAAAGTGAAAATATATTCAATTTTTTAACAGCCAGGAAATAGAAGGTTAAAACAAAAAAGACAGCCCTGAGTATCACTCATCTTCATCTTTACTGCCGTCATCATTGCCAAACACTATCATCCAGCAGCTTCCTATCTGATTTTTCTCTTCCACTAATTTTTCCTCCTCTGCATCCCACATATAGTATAACTATCTTTTAAAATGTGAATCAGACGACTAGACTTCCCAGTTAAAGCATTCCGTGGCTTTCTCATTGCTCTTTGAAACAGATAATAATCTGTTTCTGCCTACCCATTCAATCACATCCCCTTCCTTTATCTCCTCCCTTGAATATTCCTACTGTCCTGGCTGTTCTAACAATCTCTGAATTCTAGGGAATCTGGACCTTCAAATATGCTGTTTTACAATGCTTTCTTCTCAATTCTACCTGCCCAACTTCTTTTCATACCTCAGGTTAAAAGTCCCTTTCTCAGATAAGCCATTTCTAAGCTCCTTGAATCTAACTCATCCTTCTGCATTTCTGATAGCATACTGCTCTTTTTTCTTCTCAATTATTATCACAATTTATAATTACAATTGTTCCTCAGTGTCTGTTGGGGATTTGTTCCAGGACTTCCTGTGGATATCAGAAATCAATGGATGCTGAATTTCCTTTCAGAAAATGGCACAGTATTTGCATAAACCTATCAAATACTTTGTAGGTACGTCCTTTGTATATTTTTAATCATCTCAAGATTACTTATAATACCTAATACAATGTAAAACCTATGTAAATAGTTGCTATACTGTACTGTTGGAATAATTACAAGGAAAAAAGTCTGCACATATACAGTGCAGATGCAATTTTGTTTCAAAAATTTTCAATTTGCCGTTGGTTGAATCCATGGATGTAGAACTCATGGATATGAGGGCCTATAATATTAACCTTGGCATTTGTTTACAAACCAAGACAAAAAAATGTCCATGAAGGCAGAGAACTGTATGAGTAGTCTTTTGCTATTATTGGGAAACAAGTGTCCATGAGTGTCTCAGGTATCTACACATGTTGATAGCAGAAACATCGACTGCCTTTTCTCCTATCTTTCAAGCATGTTTGCTAAGATATGTAACAACATAGTGTATCTCAAGCAGTCATTCTTGCTGTTTAGTGTAGTATACATAATGCAAAGGTCAGGCATGCTTACTGCACCTTATAAAAGATTAGAATTTCCTAAACTCAGGGGTCCTTGCCTGTAACACATTCCACTATGTGTACATTTGCTACCTACCCAGCACTCTTTACAGCACCCAGGGAAAATCTAGGCCTGGAGAGCTGCTACAAATGCTTATAGCTCAGCTAATGTTATTATTGTGAATAATGAACTGGCCTTTGTTTCTGACCAAAGAGTTTCATGCATTATGCCAGTATTCATGCACCTGTGGCAGGCTAACTTGTAAGCTTGAAAGTAGAGTAGAATTTCAGACTCTTTGTACTTCTTAAAAGTCACCACCATAAGCCTAGGACAAACACAGTTCACAGCCCACATTAGGTATGTAATAAAAATGTGTCTTAGGCTTGGTTTCTCACCCTAAAGCAACTGCAGATATTTAAGTACACATATAATTTTCCCTGTATCAGAAGGATTACAAATGTTCTGGGACCCTTCCACAGGCAAATAGACCTCCATGGACTTTGAATGGTCTAGTTGACTTCTATTCTAATATATATATATATTTATATATATGTATATATTTTTATATATATTTATATATGTATATATTTATATATATTTATATACATATTTATATATATATTTATATATATTTTTATATATATTTATATACATATTTATATATATATTTATATATATTTTTATATATATTTATATATATAAATATATACATACACATATATACATATATGTGTGTGTATATATAAATAAATACACACACATATATACATATATGTGTGTGTATATATAAATATATACATATACATATATACATATGTGTGTGTATATATATACATATATATGTGTGTGTATATATATACACAATAGGTGTATATACAGTATATACCTAATGGAATGAAGGCCTAGAGAAAATTCTTATGTCCTAGACTGTTCCAGCTGCTAAAACAAAATACCTTAGACTGGGTAATTTATAAACAATAGAAATCTATTGTTTACAGTCCTGAAGGCTAGAAAGTCCAAGATCAAGGTGCCAGAAGATTCAGTATCTAGTGAGGGCTGCTGTCCTTCAAAGGTGGTACCTTTTTGTTGTGTCCTCACCCAGTGGAAGGAGCAAACAAACGCCCTCAAGCACTTTTATAAAGGCATTAATCTCATTCATAAAGGTAAAGCCTCATGATCTAATCACTTCTCAATGGTTCCACAACTTAAGACAATTATCTTGGAGGTTAGGTTTCATATATGAATTGTGAAGGGACATAAACATTCAGATCATAACACCATATCTCATTAATTCCATTATTTTCTTCTTGTTCTAGTTGCCACCTCTACCTCTATATCAGCGCCTTGAAATAATTTTCAGAACCAAAGATAAAAGCACTTCCCACAGTGGCAGTAAAATTCTTAAATGTGCTACCATTCAGAATATATGTAAGTAAGTAAAGCTAAGTTCAAGAGTATTTAGATAAACCCATGGCCAGAACCACAGAGGTCATCAAAGTTGAGTTTTAAGTGCATTATTGAAAATTCTCTGACCTTGGGAAAGTTACCTTTTGAGTCTAGGTCTTATAATCTAAAAAGTAGAATAAGTTTGTTTGGATCATAAGATTGTTTTGAAGATGAAATATGATTTTATGGAAACAGCCAAGATGGGGAAGGACCAAAGACAATGATAATGCAAGTTTTTTTTTTTTTTTTTTTTTTTTTTTTTTGGCAATTACTGCATCTGTCTGTGGTACCCCACTTAGTCTTTTCCTTTGTTTTTAAGTACAATTTGCATAATTGACGTATCCTGACATAAGTAATTCTCACTCCCACATGTCTCCCTATATTGCTACAAAGTTTCATTTGGTGGAAATATAGTTCTCTTGCTTGGCTCCAAGGACTCTCAGCTTTGATATATTGTGGCCCTTGGAACTTAGATCCAATGGGCTCAATCTTTGTATGTACAGAAGTTGAAAGCAGAAGTCATTTGAATTTCTTTGCCCTAGGAGTTACAAAGCCCAAATATGCACCATAAAATAGAAGAAAATTGTGAGGGCACTATAAATACACCCCAATATCAATAATTATTTGCTCATTGATTTATGGCAAGTTCCTTATTGTCTCTGAACTTGGCTTCTTTCTTTGTAAAATAGGATACAACAATAGTAGTTACCTACAGGAGTGTCGTGAGTATTAAACAAGATTTTGTATGAAGTGCTCACAATTCTTGAAGCTGTTGCTATATCTACACACACATACAGACAGACATGAAAAGTACGTATTCTATTAATTTTTTCAGAATGAGAAACTAACCCAGAGAGACCAAGCAGTTTCTGCAAGATAACAAAGCAAGAAGATGTGAAATTAAGCCAAAAACTTGAGTCTGTCCAGTTACAGAGAAACCAAGCAGTTTCTACAAGATAACAAAGCTAGTAAAATGTGGAATTAAGATAAAAATTAATTCTGTCCAGTTACAATATCTAGGCTGTCTAAATGCAGAATAACAAGTGACTGGGACCATTTTAGAGCTTTTCTATTTGTCCTGACTCTAAGAGTATTATTTTGGATCTGAGACTCTGTATACTTGTGAAACTTTCCCAAGTCTAAAATAAACAAACAAAAAACTCCTGGGGGAGCCAGTAATGCTTCTCTCTCAAGAAACTGGCATTAAAGCACTTATGAGCTGACATAATATCTGCTCACTGAACTAAAAACTGGTTTAAAATCGAGAAGATGAACTACTTAGTAAACATCTCAGAATGAAAGGCAAAGTATTTGTCTTTCATTACAGTCATAAACCTTTAACAGATCTTCGTGAGAAAGGCTAAATAAGCAGTAACAGATACCATAAATACCACCATATAAGTCTTCAGTGTCAAATGCATTTTACTTTTTATCAAAATTTGTAAACATGCTGCAAAATCTCTAGGTCTAAATGCAGTTGGATGAGTAGTCATCATGATGTTATTAAATGACAAATTTTCTTTAAGGGTATAGATGGATGAATGAACTAGCCAGATAAGTACCAGTTTCAAATGGCAGATATAGCCATGCTTGATGGTAAAACTATTTTGGGCTTCAGTCTTCCTCTGTAAATTCTAGTCCTTGGATTGTGTGATGTGGTTGCCCCTTACCACACTATACAGAAATTCAAGATTACTTTCATACCCCAAATGATTTTATACTAATTTATGTTCCCCTAAAATTTGATGAGATATATTTCCCTTGATCCCCCATGGTGAATAATTTATGGTAAAGGACAAATGCTTGTTCCAACAAGAATATTCATAGATGGCTTCCCCAAGTAGGTTTAAGATCTTAATATAGCCCTAAAAGTGAAGAAATTTTTGTGATGCTTCACTGCACCCATGTGATGTCCAGCCAAAAAGGCAGTGCTACCCAGAGCCTGTGACCCGAAAGTACATAAAGCAAAGTAGGAAGAGTCTAATGAAAGTATATAAATTGCAGATAATTCTGCAAATCTCTTATGCAATTTCTTAAATGAGAATTAAATTTTTAATATTTTGGTAATTTGGTACTATGTAATTTTTACTAACATTTCTAGCAAAATGTGCTTATGTCCAGTTCTTTCAGATTGTTACCAAGTGAAAATATTGATAGGCTTATTATAAAGTTAATAAACCCAAGAAAATGTGTTGATGTTAAAAAGGATTGCTTTAGGGATAATTAATTATAAATGGCTCATTTTTATATTGGCAACTCAATACATCAATTTGGTGGCTGTCTCAAGAATCTTGGCTAAATAATTAATGCAGTGCTGCTTGATAATGAAAAATGTACAAGATTCCTTCACAAAACTCACTAAATTAGGTACAATATTTCTAGTCTTTTAAATAGTCTCTGTTTACAACTATCCCTGGTTGGTATTCCATCTAATTATAAGAAGTTCCAATATTGTCTAACACACCATTTCCAACTATTCGATTCTAAAGAACAATGTTACTGGAGAGCCACTGAGTACACAAACCTGTTAAATAACTGATTATTAGCAAGACATTATAACTGGCTTTTTAACACTACACACAACTGTCAACTCTGGGGAATGTAAAATTTTTTCTCTTGACCTCCATACCATCTGTACAAATTGCTCTGCTTTGTGCTTTTCACACCTGTTTTGTTTCAGAAGTTGATGTGCAGGCAAGGAAGATTTTTCATGAACAAAAATATTTTCCAGATTGCTTTGAGATGCTTGTCAAAACAGTACCAAAGCAAATCCAATTGCAGAAGAAATCCAACTGTGCTATTTTAACTTAGAGGTCATGTGGTAAAGTACAGTGTTTAAAAAAATTTCGATCTGAGGAGCTGACCTCAGGAATCTGAAGGTTATAAATGAGAATTTTTAAAATTTTATAGCAATCTGAAAAAATATTTAGGATGGTAAAATAAGCACATGATGCAATTCTCCTTTCTACATAAAAGCTCATAGCTGTTCAAACACAAGGAGGAGAATTTGCTAGAACTTGAACCTGCAAAATTCCTGAAATACTGAAAGCAGACATTATTAAAGAAAAAATGCCAGAAGTTGCAGAAAAAAAATATTGCCACAGAAGTTGTGGAAGAAAAGAGCAGGAGAAAACCTGGGGGATCTCACACGGAATTCATTTGTATTCTGCCACGGAAACGTGCAAGACTTTCAAATGCTATGGGTGTCTCCTGGACACATGTCTCACCCCCAACTCCAAGTGAACCAGGCAATAATGGGTTAACTGTCTACACACAGGAGTAATAAATGGTGGACCTGAGGATAAATGAGAGGACAGGGATCCAAATGGTTGATGATATCTGAAAAGAACAAAAAACATCAACAGTCAGAAGATAAGCCATGGAAGTGAACCACTAGTAGCATTTCATGGTGAGTATTCACCATCCTGATATAGAGTACAAGCTGGGCAAGAGTTCCTGCCCTATTCAAGGCAAGTTCTGTAAACACAGAAGCAGACAGCCTACGGTTACAGCAACTAAAATGATGAGCACATCACCAACTATGTGAGTAGCATTAACATATTGAATAAAAGAGATTTCAAACAAGAACATATACTTGAAGATGGAGAGTTAACTAAAAATAAGTACAGAAATTATAACCAGTAGAATTTTTCGAAGGAACAGGAGGAATATGCCATTCATGCCAAAAAGTTGTTACATATAAAAAGAATGAATTAGAGGTTGGGACTTAAATCTACACATATTTTTATGGTCAAATAGCAAAATTGACACAGCTGAATAGCAAATTATTGAGCTGAAATGAAAGGAATATATAAAAAATATAAGATGCATGGAAGACATACACAGAAATTGTAGAATGTATCTTATAGATGTTGCAGATAGAGAAAATGGGGACAATAAAAGGAAATCATTACTTAAAGAAGATGGCAAATAATTTGCCTATGGTGAAGAAAGATTAAGTACTAAAGGGATAAATTAAAAAGCAAACAAAAACAAAACAACATATAAACAAATCTTGGTTCTCAGCAGATCATAGTAAAATTTTAAAATATCAATGATAAAGAAAATCTTTAAAGGTACCAAAGGGAGGGGGGATACTACCTGTAAAGGAACAAGAGTCAGATTATTATCAGATACCTCAGCAGCCACATGGGAGGCAAAAATACCATGGAATAATATCTTCCATGGCTTAGAATCCAGAGTTCCATATTCAATTACACTATCATTCAAATATGTGGTTACTTTATTCTAACAATTAGATTATTTCCATAATATAAAAAGTTATCTTTCAAGTCTAACCTAATTGCAGTAGCAAACTGGATAAAGTCAATGCAAGAAATGTAGAGAAAAATCTCACTTATGCACATAGATAAAGCCAAAAAAAAAAGTAAAATTACCAAGTTTGCTTAATTCCAGTAATCCATGAATCCTTCAATAGTGGAAATAAATCCACAATGTCATTTAATATATTTACAAATTAAAGGGAAAAATGTATGTTATAATCTAAATACAGAATCAAAATAAACTGATAAAAGTCAATTTGTTATGTATTTGAAACTCCTAGAAAGCTAAGATAGAAGAGAACATTTTTATTTATTAAAGGTAAAAAAAATCTAGTGGGAAACTAAAAAAAGTATGGTGAAACATTAGACATATTGACAAAATCAGTAATAAAACACAAATATATGCTGTCATAGCTACATTCCAGATTATGTTGGAAGATCAAAAATATGTTATCAGACAAGAAAATTAGCTAATGAAGAATATTAGAAAGACAGCAATAAGTGTTAATTGCAGATAACATAGCAATCCAAGGAAATCTACTAGGAGTTTAATCAAGTTAAAAACAATGTTTAGAAAAATAACTAGATAGAAGATGAATACACAAAAAATCCTAGTTTTCCTAAATCCTGGCAATAATTGATTAGAAAATATTATGGAAAATACTTATTTATAGTGAAAGAAACTATTAAATAATCAGAAACATTGAGTATGTTTTTGAGAGGCTTGCACTATCAAAAATATCAACAGGCTGAATCGAAAGCATCTGTTACTGTCTTAAAATGGTGCTTAGAATGTCCATATAGGGAAGGAGCTGAGAATACTACTAATTTATGAAGGAGGATTTTTTTTTCTCTCATGCCCAATTCAGATATGACCAAGAAAAATGATGAAAAAGAAATTTCCTTAAAGGAGCTTTCAGAGGCCATGACAAACTATGGATAAGGAGTTACTGTCAAGAAGCAGATTCACAGTCTAATTAAGGAACATTAACCACCCTCTGGGTAAGAGTCCTTATACCACCTGACCAGCAGGATTTCAGAATTACTAGGGATGTGTGACAGTTCTGTGTTCCTCATTCATCCCTTTTCCAAATGAGGTATTCTTCTGTCCCTATACCACTAGAATCTGATATAAATAGTACTGTGCATCATTCAGATATTTGGACATTCAGTTTGACTGTGAGAGTGGATGAGAGCTTAATGTGGTCTTTCTTTGGGGATGAATAAGTGCATTTTTTGCCTAGGGGAAGAAGGGTAGTAGTCTAGTATTTGGTGACCAGAAGGATAAACTTTGGTAGTCTTAGGGAATGCTGTCACCAGTTTTTCCAAATTTCTGCCTTAGAGGCAAAAAGATGATTGTGTTTCCTGGACCTCTTGTGGTTAAGAGGTGCCATATGACTTGTTCTGACCCAGAAAAAAGACAATTTTAAGAATACCTTAACCTAGGTTTCATTCGTAATTGGACTGATACATTAAATTGATGAGATCTGGCAGAATGTAAAATCAAATTGTGTCTTTAATTAAGTTGAATATTTATTACTACTAAATATTAATAGGCAGTCTATGCAATAGAGTTAGTGATTGGCTGTTAGTGATTAGGAATCAGAGAAGAGGGTTATTGTATTTCCTTATCCCTCTATTTCTCATTTATAAAATAGGAAAATGAACGTGATGATCTCATAGAGTTGTTTGTAAAAGTAAGAAAGATAATAAATGAAACATCTTTAGTATTGTACTGGTACAGAATGAATTAATGATCAACATTTTTTATTTAGTTATTAGTTTTGCCTCTCAGATTTTCAGATTAAAGTCAATCATTCATCCAGATTGCTTGAGTGTCTTCTTATTTGTTATGAATCATATGATTGAACATTAATTAAAGAGAATTGATTTAACAAATATTTATTGAATGCATTTCATCTAACACAGGAGCTTTGTATTGTGAAAGGCAAATCATGATCCTTTAGGAAGCCATGCCTTATAATTTTGTAAGATGGACAGGCTTATACACAAATGACTATAATCTAATGCAAACTATAACATTTTCTATCAGCAATCAATGTTCATGAATCATGACATTTTGTTTATCATTCTATTGCTAGTTCTTCGAATATAGTTTAATACTCAACAAATAATTGATGAAAAATGTTAGCAGACCATGGGAGAGAAAGATTAATTTTCATTGGCTTAATCAGGGAAGACTTCAATTTGGACAAGACACTTTATATGCCCCATGGGTTCAAAGATTATTATCAGTTAAGGAAAGAAAAAATGGACATTTCAAGAAAGAGAGAAGATGGAGCAAAGGAAAATAATTAAAAAGCGTAAGTCATGTTTGGGAAATGCCTTGAGGTGGGTGATTGGTATCATATATGTTGTGTGGGTTGAAGCATAGTAAGAAATAAAGACTGTAATGGAATGTTGGACCCAAATTGTTGAGGGATTTTCACACATTAGTTAGGAATTCAAACTTTGTTTTCTATTCAGTTGAGAACTATTGAGTGTTTTGCACAGGAGAGAAATAATCATAGCTGTGTTCAGGAATATTACCATAGTGTCTCGCTATAGTGTGAGCAAGAGAAGACAAGACAGCATTTGAAACAGAGAGAATTGTCTGAATGTGCTCCACACCAACATGAGGAATGGATAGAGTAACAGAGAGGCTGAGCAGTCACCTAAAGCAACCTGATACATATATTTTCAAATGAGAGACTGGTAAAATGAACTTAAGATAATCCCAAAGACTCTTATGGGAATCCAAGTTTCAGCAGCTTAACTGATCAAATGAAAGGCAGGAAAATATAAATGAGATGTTGCTGAGAGTTTGAACAGGTCAGATGCTGACACGGTGCTGCTGGGCTGGGTACTGTGGGGCTATTGATGATTTTTCAAAGAATGGTCTCATTGGATTCATGGAGGCAAATTAAGTCCTATATGTTTTGAAGAATGAATGGGAATGAAGAAACAAAGGGATAGCTAACACAGCATGATCACATAACTGACAGATAGGCATAGGGTCAAGAGTGCCAAGGGAGAAGTCAGTTTTACGAAAGAAGAAAGGTCCAGTGATTAGAATAAAAAGAAAACAAAATGAGAAACTTTGAGAAGAGGGGATCTAAAATGAGAAGGGAAAACAAAGTGAAAGGAGAAATGATCTACTGAAAATGAGCAGGATCATATAATTAGAGTCTAAAAGACAACAGAAAAGATGACAGTTTTACTTTTTTAAGAAACAGAATGTGAGGTATAATCAACCAAGAATAAAAATTAACAAATGATTTAAAACATTCTAAGTGAAACAGGCTGTAGAAGATGGAAAGTTGTGTCTAACCCAGCCTGTAAGTTTTAAGGAGGACTTTGACAATTTTTGTGATGTTCGTGTTCACATAATAACAGAGCTGGATAGTGGAGAGCTTGCTTTGGTTCCATAACTTGCTTAATAACACAAGAATTCCTTCTGATGAAAATGGCAAGCCAAAATTGTCTGCATAGATGATTTTCTACAGCAGTATCTTCCATTATAATGTTGTAGCCATTTCCCCTATACCTGTCTCAATCCAGCATACTTTCTCCACAGCACAGCTTTTATTTATTGATTGACACTGGAATTCTGGGAACAATATTACACATAGTCACCTTTAAATTATTTGAACAAGTAGAGAGCTGTTAAATGGATAATACACAATGATGGTCACTTCAAACATTAATTTGTATTTCACATTAGATGTGTTCTTATTTTTAACCCTGAGTGGGACCATATCATTTTTAAGTCCCATAAAAATCAAATAATAAAATATCACAGTGAAAACTTTTTAAGGGAAGTGAGTATTCAACCATTATTATATTCTCCCAGCTGCCAGGGCAGAAATACCAAGCTCAGATGAAAGCCAAGCACAGCAATTTTTTAAAAAATATATTTTCTGGAGCATGGACAGTAGTTATAGGCTTCAATTACAAAGCAGTTTTCTGCTAGAAATAAAAAGCACTTAAGAAAAAAATAGAGAGTGCTAGATTTTCACATACCAAAAATAATTAAGCCAAATAAATGTTTATTGTTGAAAAGAAAGATGTCAAGAAAGTACATAAGTAGAATACCATAGGTGATTTCATATGTCAACAGAGGGTAAAAGAATGTTTGCTATGGACTAGCTACAATGCAGCTAATAGTATTTGAGAAGTATCTGTCTATATATAGGAGTATAAAGCATCTAACTGCAAGCATCTACATATTTCTATGTCAGATTCGCTTCAAGGGAGATCAATATGTTTTGTTACAAAGGCTATTGTGAACCTGAGCCAAGAAATATGTCAGCCTTGCCCAGGTTGGCAGAAGAACATGGGCATTTCTTTTTGACAGCAATTAGCAGAACAGAATTAGTCAGCAGTAGTGAATGCACAGATAAAAGCTGAAGAGGCTATTCTCTTTTAGCACATTCTGTGGCAATTGCCTTTCTGACTCAGGTCAGCTTTTCTTTGAGTCTGGAGAAGGCAAAATTTCAAGTTCAATGCCAATCCGAGAGTAAAGGTGTGAACTTTCTGACATAACTTTAAAACTCCCACATATGAAAAACTGTTTCCCCAGTGGGAAAAAAAAGGTATAGTTGTGATTCCATTAGCTATTTATGAAGCACTGGAGTCAGACACTTGGTAAGTAGGCTTCCCTGAAATTTCTTAAAAGTGGAAACACCCGGGTAACCAGGCAAAGAAAAGATAGAATCCTAGCTTGATTCATTGGTTTCTTATGTTTATAATTCTAAACAAAAGAAACAAAAACTAATTCATAAGAAATTCTTTTATTATTTGCAAAATAAAACATTAATTAACTGAATTGTAAATTTGGTCTTATAACAATGCGTTAAGAATTTACCACTTGTACAACAGCCAAAACCACCATAGGGAAAAAAAAAACATTAAAACACACACAGACACACACACACAAAGCTAAAGGGAGTTGTATCAATGAGCTTAGGCTAAGTTATGTTTCAGTAATAAATGGAGCCAACAACAAGGGTTGATTTCTCATTCACGTTGTATTGCAGCCTAGTCTTTGTTCCATGTCATCTTCACTTCTGAACAATACAGATTTTTATTACAAATACTTTTTCTGGAGGCAGTCTTCTTAGGTTCAAATCTCAGCTCTACCACTTACTAGCTATATATACTTGTATGGGATATAGTGTAATGTCAAAATTACCTTTAATTCATTTGATCCAACATGTGTTAGTCCTAGAGGAAAGAGAGTGTGGCAACAAACAGATGTGGGGGGGAATACTTAGCTTACCAGAGCTCACAAAAATTGCATGGAAAACATAATGCAAGGCAAATAACTATTGTTGTCATAATAATAACACCTGTCATGGGAGTTTGAGCAGAGTCTGGAAAGACTTCCCAAAGAAGCTGAAATTGGATCTAGATCTAAAGGAAATAGTAATCCTTCAATAGTTTGGAAACGAACAAATAAATGGAGGCCATAGATTGCTTCATAAGATCCTTGCAAACTATGTTAGGAGAATCTGATGATATTCTTAGGCTAATGGGGAGCAGTGAAGGGTTTTAAGTAGGAAAATAATATAAAGAGATGTATTTTAATTTAATGAGATAACTCTTGCAGTCAGTTGCAATTTTACTGAAGTGGCAAGATAACCTAGCTAGGAAGAATAGTTTGGAATCCCTTTCAGGAATCCGGGCAAAAATGTAAGGCAAGAAGGAATCAAACTAGAGATACCTAATTTTACCTACCAATTATAAAATTAAGAAGACTCAGTAACTGAATGTATATGGTTATTGAGGAAGAAAAAGGGGCAGAGTGGTGGTTCTCAACAATCTGCACACAGGAATTGACCCAGATGGCCTTAATAGTCCCCTCAGGTTGACTAAACTTTAAATAGAATTTTTCCTGAAGATGGGTCCCTGATCTCCCTTTTGTTAGGGATTTATTTCAGAAAACTTACAACTGAATTTTTCTGTCTGTTTGAGAAGTAAGTCTTCTGCAACCCAGGAATGTCTTTCTTAAGGACAGAGGAGCCATCCCTTTGAAACTTAATCATCAAGAAAGATAGTTCCCCTCTCTCTTGTCTCTGCAGGAGACGGGGGAGCCTAAATTTAATAAGCACCAACTAGCAAACAAAGAGGGCCTCGTCCCACAGACCAATCTCTCCCCTAATATCTTCTGGTACTACTTCTCCATCAACTAGCTCACCTCAGTGCTTAGTAATGCTCCTTGCCTTTTGTTTCAGCAAGTTGAGTTCAGCGTCTCTCTTCTATTGCTATACAATCTATCCCTAATTGCAATAGCCTTAAATACAGTCTTCCTTGCTTGTTTATTGGGTCCATTTCAATTTCTTTTGCAGAACCACTTAGAGCTTTAAAAATGTCTCATGTCTTGTACCACCACACCAGATCCTAACTTAATTGCTATTGTGTACAGTTTAGGCAGTGGGAGCTTTGAAAACTCCACAGGTGATTAAAGCATGTAGCCAGGGCTGAGCACTGAAAAAAAAAATAATTCCAAGGTTTATTGTCTGAGGGACCATGACAGAAATAAGAACTACGAGAAGAACAATTAAGCATCACATGTGGGAGATGTAGTGGGCATGGCTGATTATCTAACTGAGATCTATTCTCTTCTTCCTATAAAACCTGAATTTTGTAAAGATATTCATCTCTTCCTCACAAAACCCGTGTGACTCAGTTTAGATGACTTCAACTCATTACCAAACTTAGAAAGTAGGTTCTGATTAATTTAAACCAATCTTGGTAATTATATTTCTTCCACTGGAGTGGTTCAGGAAAGGGTGTGTAATCTAATTTTTAACCAATGAGATTTAAGCAGAGTCCTGCTTGTTCTTTCTGAAATAGAAGCTTTGTTGTTCTAAAGAGCCTTAGTCTAAAATGCTTCCTTGCTTTCTTCAGAACAAGAGAAGCCAGTTCTCTTTTCCTCCTGTAAATAAACAAGGAAGCCTATGGACCTAATTAGTACAGGCAGCCATTTTATAAACATTCATTCAACAATATTCAACTAATATTGAATAGAGCACTTATTATTTCCTAATGACTGTTCTAGGTACTTGAGATATACTAATGAGTAAACCAAGAAGTCTTGCCTTTGCGGAGATTGACTTTAGGAGTAAGAGATTTAGGAGTAGGAGATTGACATAGGAGTAAGAAAATAATCAGTCAACATAATAAATTGATAAAGTATGTAATAAATCTGAAGGTGACAAGTACCGTGTAAAATAAAAGGAGAGTGGGGATTGAGAGTGCCCAGGGATAGGTTGTTTAATTAAATTAAGTGGTCAGAATAAAGCTGTGAGATTTGTGCAAAGGCCTGAAGAACACAATGGAACTGGGCAAATGGATATGTGATGTGAGGGAAGAGTGTGTTAGGCTCAGGAGACAGAGCAAAGGCCTCAAGCAACAGTGTGGCATGAAGATCACTGAACCAGGAACAGAGAGTAGGGGAGAGGGAGCAGAGGGAGACAAGGTGAGAGAGTCAAGGGGATGTTAAGTGTCACAAAGGTGTTGCATCCATCCTACGTACTGTGGCTTTAATTTTAATTGCCAGATCTTGATTTAGGATTCAGTAGGGGGCTGCAGCCAGCACAGCAGGGAAACAAATAACAATAACAAAAAATAACAACAAAAAAGAACCTGGGTCTTTGATGGAAGAGTGAGCTGCTAGAGCAACCAAGTTTGAAGCCTGCCTTCCTTCTGGATTTCCTGTTTAATGAAATAATGAATTTCCTCATTGTTTAAGCCAGAGTTAAATTTCTATTGCTTGAAATTGAACCTAGCCTATCTAAAAAACAGTTTAGCTTGAATTTGAGAGATAAAAATGATTTTTATTTGATCATTTTGATTCACAAAGAGCAACAAGAAATATCTTAAATCACTTGAAGAAAAACTATGTTAAGCATAAGAAAGAACTATTTGATTAGTGAAGCTGGTACAAGAGTGTGTTGAATTTCATTCATGAAGAATAATATTATTTTATTTTTCAATAAACTATATGTTCACTTGCTCAGAGAAAGAAGGTAGAGTCATAGGTAAGTTTTGGGGCCTTTGATAATTATGTTAACTTAAAATCTTAGTTACTGAGATTAGTAGAGGGGATGACAACAACCTAAAAATATACGATCTTCTAATATTGAAAATGAAAATGATGTAGATTTCTTCTGGGCAATTCTTAAAATAGGATAGATTTCTCTTTGTAATGATAACTCTTTGATAGTTATTTCAGCAAATATTTGTGGAGTACTCAAAAGCAGAGGCTTACTTGAGGGATTAAATGATAGAGTGAAAGTCAATATATGCTGCTTGTCAACTTATAGTTATTATTTCATTAATCCTTCATGAATATATTCAAACCACATATATTCATCTCCTATTATGTAGCTGAGTTGTTTGATTGTAGATAACAGGAAGAAGGCAGGAAGGTGAAATCAAGGAAAAACTTACCTATCTGTAGATTTGGCATTAGTATGTTAATGTGGTTAGAGGAGATAATGCATATAAAGCATACAACATCAGAGTTTAATGAAAAGTTGTTATTAGAATTGTTGATCATTCTTAATGTGCCTTTGTGGTATATAGTAAGTAATGTCACCATTACTCTAGAATTCTGGCTTTTGTACCAGAGAATTTAGGACTTTCCAGGAATTAGAAAATATACTCCACTATTTCAGAGGATTTCTAGTGGGATGATTAACCCATAAAACCTGGTGTAGCTGAAAAAAAAGTTTGTGATTAGACCATATTGGTCATTAGGACAAATTTAGGCCTAGCACCATAATTTTGAGACCTTAGGCAAGTCTCTTAATCATTCTGAAACTGAATTTCCCTTATTTTTTTTTAAAGACATAAATAAGTATTGCAAGGAAAAACAGTATGGAAATGTTTCAAATAATTAAAAATAGAACTACCATTTGACATGGCAATTCCATCACTGGGTATCTATCCAAAGGAAATCATTTTATCAAAGAGACATGTGCACTTGTATGTTTATTGCCACACTATTCACAATAGCAAAGTCATAGAATCAACCTAAGTGTCCATTAACAGTTGATTGGATAAAGAAAATGTAACATGTTTATATATATGGAATACTATGCAGCCGTATTATATATATATGGAATACTATATATAGTGTATATGTATAAAATACTATATATATAGCATATATATATATAATACTATATATATTATATGGCTGTACATTCCGTATATATAAAATGGCTAATATGGAAACTATTATTTATATATATAAATTATATATATGGGATACTACACAGCCATAAAATATGAAATTATGTTTTTGGAGCAACCCGAATGGAGCTGGAAGCCGTTATCCCAAGTGAAATAACTCAGAAAGTCAAATACCACATATTCTCAAATGTAAGTGGAAGCCAAACAGTGAGTATACATGGACACAAGGATGGAAATAATAGACTCCAAAAGTGAGAGAAATGGAGGAGGATGAGGATGGAAAAAACTACCTTATTGCAAACTATGTTCACTATTTGGGTGATAGGTTAGCTAGAAGCCCAAGCCTCACCATTATGCAACATTCCCATGTAACAGACTTGTACATGTACCCCAGGAACCTAAAATTTAAAAAAACCTCCCAGCCTCTGGTAACCATCTTTCTACTCTTTATGTCCATGAGTTCAATTGTTTTGATTTTTAGATCCCACGTATAACTGAGAACTGATCCCACAAGTAACTGATGCGATGTTTGTCTTTCTGTGTTTGGCTTATTTCACTTAATGATCTCCAGTTCCATCCATGCTGTTGCAAATGATGATCTCATTTTTTTAAATGGTTGAATAGTACTACATTGTAAGGAAATACATAGGAAAAAGTATTTCATAGGATCCTTATAAGTAAGATGATATTATTAAAGGTAACCTGTAAGCTGGAAATGAGCATTATATAGATGAGGTGCTATTTAGCCTGGCATATATTATCTTTTACCTTGTATAATTAGTTTGCTAAGAATTCTCAACTAATCTCTAGTTTGAACTGTGATGCTGGCTGCTTGCATGGTGAAGATGGAGAGTACTCTCTTTTGAAGGCATACCTCCTTTAGTGGATGGAGCCAGGATGAGACCAGGAGTGACAGAGTGACATTTTCTGATGTGAGCTAGCCGTACATTGCTGCTAGAGGATGGCTCTGGTCTTCTCTAGTTCTTTCTGGCTCTATGTGGTGCTGGTGACCTTTGCAGTTATGTGTATGGTTGTTTAGGACAGTGTTCAAATTGACCTGGTGCTCCTGATGAAAGATCTTCTTAGAAAATTATGTTAGCCTTTAATCTTGACTGCAGCACCAAATCCTTACAGGGAATGGTATCTCCTCTCATGATCTGTCATCGATGTTACAGCTCTATGGATTCATTTCTTCTTCTAATCCCCTTTCTCCTATATGTGAAGCCATAGGAATTGGCTTTGTACCCTCTCCAGGGGCTATGGATAACTGGGATAGAGGTACCCTATTCTTCCCCAACCGCCTCTAGCTCCCCCCGGGGAATTCTATACTACAGCTCTTTGTTATTCTGGTTCTGGGGCTTTTCCAACAAGCTGCTTACTTCAGGAATCTCCAGTTGAGAAGTAAACATCAGTTTTTGTGTTTAGAAAAAAGCTCCACGCTTTCACAACACTGTAAACTCTTCCACACCCTCCCTACATGGAAGGCAGCAAGTACCGAGGTTGCTGAATTGCAAAAGCCTCCAATGTCTCCTTCCCATGTGCACCTCCAATGTCTTCAGTTAATTCTTGTGAAGTCCCATCTCTCTTCATATGCTTGGAGATAAATTGTGCTCAAGTCCATAGGGTTGGTTCTGTTATTTTGCAATATGTTTAAGGGAAAATATCTGGAGTTTTGGGACAATAGTTAAATCTGGTGTAACCACCACTTAGGAATAATAATAATAAAAATGTTGCTCTGTTGCTTAGTAGTTACCATGCTGGACTTTAAAAAAATGATATTCATATAATGTCTATCACAGAGCAAGGACTCAATAAGGTTTTGCTAATTGTGGAAAGTACTGTATCAGTTAGCATTCTCCAGAGAGACAGACAGACAGAGAGAGAGAGATTTTAAATAAAGAACTGGCTCATATCTCACATGACTGTGGGATCTGGCAAGTCTAAAACATGTAGGGCAGGTTGACAGAAAGTCTAGAAATTCAGGTGAGTGTTGATGTTACAGTCTTGAGTCTGATATTCAAAGATATCTGACCAGCAGGCTAGAAACTCAGTCAGGATTTCCATATTATAGTCTTGAGGGAGAATTTCTTCTTCTCCAGGGAACCTCAGTTTTTGTTCTTAAAGCATTCAGCTGATTGGATAAAGCCCTTTACATTATGGAGGGTAACCTGCTTTATTTAAAATCAACTGATTGTAAATAGTAATCACATCTACAAAATACCTTCACAGCAATATCTAGACTAGGATCTGGCCAAACAACTGAGCACCATAGACTAACCAAGTTGATACAGAAAATTAACAACCACCTGTACTGTATAATTCATAATATGCATCATAGATCTTATTTAATTTTACACTTAAGACACCTAGTTTTGCTCCATCTAGTTTTCATAGTAACTATAAGAAATGGAACTTCTTCCTTTTCTTCACTATTGTACATATGAGGAACTTGATAAGAGAGTAAGTGCCCGAAATCACACAAGCAGATAATGACAAAGTGGGACTTGAACTCAGGTCTTCTGACTTCAGAGCCCATATTTTCTCCCTTGTCATCAGTGTCTGTCAATAAATATTTCATGATTGATTTGTTGATGATCAATTTGTACAAGAGCACCAAAAAAACCCATAAAATTAAAAAGAAATAAAATGGTTAAATTAGTAGAAAATCTATGGCTACTGAGAGGAAAGGGAGAAAAAGAAATTCCATTGGCTAGGAAACTACTTGGCTTTAGCTTAAATTCCTGAAGACAAATTTGGAGTTTAACAGTCTTATATGAAATTTTGAAAATTGAAAGATGTTTTTCTGGGCCAGGGGTGTTGGCTTATGCCTGCAATCCCAGCACTTTGGGAGGCTGAGGCAAATGGATAACTTTAGGTCAAAAGTTTGAGACCAGCTCAGCCAACATAGTGAAGCCCAGTCTCTACTAAAAAATACAAAAGTTAGCCAGGCATGGTGGTGGGCACCTGTAATCCCAGCTACCCAGGAGGCTGAGGCACAAGAATTGCTTGAACCTGTGAGGTGGAGGTTGCAGTGAGCTGAGGTTGCTCCACTGCACTCCAGCCTGGCAGCCTGGGTGAGACTCCATCTCAAAAGAAGAAACAGTATTTATCAGTAAAAAGGAGAATGCTCTCTCAAAAGATGTTTCCTCTGGCTCAATCGAATAGAAGTTACTAAAATATTAATTTCTCAGTACATAGGAAATCTAAACTTCAACAACTAAGTTTGCTTCCCCTGAGGAAAAATCTTATTGAAATTTATTTTCTCTTTCCCCCCACCAAATCCTTATTATTAGTAGGAGTCAAATATAAAAAAGCTTGTCCTTTAAAAAAAATTTTAGATTAATGCTTGCCCACCATAACTGCTTTCATTTTTGTTGCTGTTGGTATCCGTAAGAGTTTCAGATTGTGCTGTCCCCTGTGCTCGCAGCTTGTCAGGAGGAAGCGGAGCTGCTGACACGGGCCTGTTAGAGTGGTAACAAGGCAGGTGTGCCAACAAGACATCAGCTGGCAAAGATGGCTAATCATGCCCTCACTGTTACTGCACAAGAACAAAAAAGCCCGTACATGAGAGCATCAATCATTGTGATTGTCTCATGTTCCAAAAACTGGAAACAAATGACCTGTTAGGCAGACTTCCAGATTCTGGCCTCCTCAGCTGTCCCTAAATCACTGCTCATTTTAAGAGGAGAGTGAAGAAAATGTCCCTGGTTGCTCATTTTAAAAAGGAAAACACCAGTGTTTCATGTTTCAGGTGATTGTTTCAGTACCTTCACAAATGAATCTCTTGACATTCTTTGTAGAAAAATGAGAACAAGATGAACACAAAAAAATGACCAATGCTTAACTATTAATAAGGACTAACACATCCCAGGGTTTCAAATGGTGTAATGGGATAACTTGATGCTCTACGCTAAGTCCTCAACATACAGTCAGTTCCTTTTCAAATCTTTCAAGAACTTTCTTAACAATGACAGGTGATTTTGTGTAGTAGGTGAGTTTTGCTCACTTTGAGTCACAAAGAAATTAGTTTCTTTGATTTAGAAAAGTGTTAAAGACATCAAATGCTTAAGATACCAAGGATTTCTGGCTAAATAAATGAAATGCTAATACATTTCTCAAGATCTTTGTTAAACTAGAATCTTCTTTTTCTAGGGAACACTTTTACACGGCTGGTGGGAATGTAAACCAGTACAACCAGTACGGAGATTCCTTAAATAACTAAAAGTAGAACCACCGTCTGATCCAGCAATCTTGCTACTGAGTATCTACCCAGAAAAAGAGAAGTCTTTATATGAAAAAGATGCTTGCACACGCATGTTTATAGCAGCACAATTCACAATTGCAAAATTATGGAGTCAGTGTAAATGCCCATTAACCAATGAGTGGATAAAGAAAATGTGGTGTATATATAGACATACATATATGTCTATATATATACCTACTCATGTGGCCTTCATGGGCATATATATATATGGATATATTACTCAGCCATAAAAAGGAATGAAATAATGGCATTTGCAGCAACCTGGATGGAGTTGGAGATCATTATTCTAAGTGGACTAACCCAGAAATGGAAAATCAAACATCATATGTTCTCACTTGATGGATGACACAAAGATATAAGAATGATATACTGAATTATGGGGACTTGGGGGCAAAGATGAGAGGGGAGTGAGGGATAAAAGACTACACACTGGGTGCAGCATACACTGCTCAGGTGATGGGTGCACCAAAATCTCAGAAATCACCACTAAATAACTTATCCATGTAACCAAACATCACCTGTTCCCCCAAAACTATTGAAATAATAATAAAAGAATCTTTTTTCTTTTCTTTTTTTTTTTTCTGATTCTTTAGTTAAGACAGCAAAATAGGTGATTTGTTGTATACTTGTTACACTTGGCCACCACTGAACACAGAAACAGCCAGAACATCGCAGGTCCAAGGCAAAGGACTGACAGGGACTGTTTGGGTATGAGCAAGGTGGGTCTCTCAGAGATGGTCTCAGCAACCAGATGGTGAGGAAAATTCTAGATCCATTGAGAGACAAGTTCTAGCAAGTAGCATGCAGCCCATCAACTTGTAACAGCATCTCCAACCTCTGGCATTCCATGTTTCTGCTCCTGTGGTTTTCATGGGCACACAAGCTAAGCAGTTTACTGGACCTTTGTCTCACTTTTCTTCTTTTGCACTGCTTCTTTCCATGCATTTGCTTCTTCCTCCAGTTGGCTCTCATGGCACAGAGGTTTCCAAGAAGATGATGCTAATGCCAGGAGTTGGAATATTCTTGTGTCGAATTATCTTTCAAATACAACTGGAGGGTGGTGCCTGTAATCTCAGCACTTTGGGAGGCCGAGGTAGGTGGATCACTTGAGGGCAGGAGTTTGAGACCAGCCTGGCCAACATGGTGAAACCCCATCTCTGCTAAAAATACAAAAATACCAAAAAAAAAAAAAAAAAAAAAAAAAGCCAGGCTTCTGTAGTCCCAGGTATTCAGAAGTCTGAGGCAGGAGAATAGCTTGAACGTGGGAGGCAGAGGTTACAGTCAGCCGAGATCACCTCACTGCACTCTAGCCTGGGCAACAGAGTGAAACTCCATCTCAAAAAGGAAAAAAAAATACAATTGGAGCCTCACAGAGATCCTCATAAAAAGAATTTGTTAGCAGAGATTGGACATTGCAGTTGCACTTGACTGTATTTCTGAAACCCTGGGTTTTAATATCAGATCTGCTATAGGTTATGTGTGATCCTGCAGTGACGTTATAATTCAAGGAGGTCAGTTCTCTCATTTGTAAAGAGAGAAGATCCCCTAGCTCTCTAGAATTATCTGATAAAATGTATTTAATTTGAAACAGCACATAACACAAATTCTCTGCAATAATTTTAACACAGAGCCCTACATAATCTTTTTTGGTATTGTTCAAGCCATTGAGATATTAATTAACAATTATTTTTAACAACAGAGATAGTTAAAGCTAGAGAGATACTGTAGTTTGCTAATCTGCTTCTTTCATAAATGAATTAAAGTCTTGAAAAGAGTTTAATGGCTTTGGCATGATACAAAACTAGTATTAGGTCCCAACTTTCTCATGTATTAGCTGTGGGATCTTTAGCAAATTATTACCAGTTAAGATTTTTAGTTTTATAACTTTTAAAAGTGGTGTTAACCAGTTTTATAGGATTGCTGTGATAATTATATAAGGTCTTGAATCAAAAGCATAAAAATAAGCATAATTATTATCCATAATCTCTTCTCTTTATCCTACACATCTACACGTAAAAACTTCACTACCTCTGTAACTACCTCTGTAACTTAACTACCTCTGTAAAAGCTTGAATTCACTTTATTTATTTAGGTAGGCAACTTAACTTTCATGACAGTCCTGAGCTCATGCAAACTGCCTACTGATAACAGCTTGCATTGTGTGTTTCGGTCTGAGTATTTTCACTAATCCTGTCTGCTCCAGCACCAATGTTATAAAACTCATCTACTTAGTTTTAAATTTTAGATATTATATTTTCCTTGTTAGAATATCTATTTGATTGTTTTCATAGATTCAAATTCTCTAGTGAGATGTTCTATTGTTTTATCCTCTTTTTCTTTATTTCTTTGAAGTGTACATCTATTTTTTACTTTAATATCAACTTTTATTGAAGTATAATATACATATGAAAACTCACACGTGTAACTCAATGCATTTTGAAAAATTAATTAGCACCCAAATAAAGAACCAGAACATTATCAGAACCTCAGAAATTCTGTTTTACCTGTTTCAGGTCATTGTCCCCCAAGACTGACCCCTAATACCATGGTTTTTTTGGCCAATATTTTATAGTTTTGACCTGAATGAGGCAATAGTATATGGTTCATCCTAATAATGACCAAACCCTATATATTGGCTCTGGATATGCTTTAGAAGGGCTTAACTTGCTCATGAAAATCTTCTAATTATGTTTCAGATGAAAAAAGATATGTAAAAAGGCTTCCTAAAATGGGATTCATACCGTCAGATTATTTCTTTTTGAAAGACTGAGGTTTATTATTGAAAATGAGGACTTCATTCTCTTCTCGGGAGCGTGTAAGATCTAATCAAGTCTTGGTTGACTAATGAATTTCCTCTTCTTTGTATGTTGTGGGAGAGGACATCATTCCCTTTTTGGAAGGGTGTAAGATCTAATCAAGTATTGGTTGATGGATGAAGTTCCTCTCCTTTGTATGTTGTGGGAACTTCCCAGCGCAGGATGACCTCCACTTTTTTCCTTAAAATCTTATATAAGTCATAATCCCAGTCTGAAAAGTCTTCTCCTTTGATCTTATTAAGAAAATAGATTGAGACACCCTAGACCTCAAAATAAGCCTTCTGGTTCCACCTGGGCAAAACATGATTGCAGCCAAGTGCAAAAGGGATTTCAATAACTTAGAGACTCATGGTCCACTGGACCTTAGAGTCTTGCTGGAGGCTTTGAAATATTTATAATTAGTCACCATATTTAGAACTGAGGAATCTCTATATTTCTGTCACATGTGATAGGTTATTAATCATTGTATAGATTTGAAATTATTGATTTTAGACTGTTAATTTCATTTTAAAGAGACCAACAGGGAATTAATATACTTCTAGTAATTTCGATTGAACTGTCACTGGAGCTGAACTTGTTATCCTAAGGGAAAATTTGGCCTCTGGTTCTTCTGAATTGCCTGGCTCATTTGTTTCTTTAGAAACGTTGTCAGCTTTTCCTTAAGGGCTGGTTTATGTGTCAAGGACTTCAGTAGGAATAGAAAAGGGAAATCTTGCACAGGACCCTGGAAGAGCCAGTGGGGAGGAAATGTATGCAACTTCCAGGGCTTAATGAATAGGCTATCTCTATGTACGTCTCCTTTGTTCATGAGTTTCCTGTTGCCATTTTAACGTTAAAAGTTAAAGCGACAATGTTGTAATAATTTTCAAAAGTGGGTTACAAGAGCATAGTAATATAGGAATAAAAAGTTCAGAGTCTGGTGGCAAAGACAACGACATGGAGATAACTGATGAACGGCACGATTAGCAGGTGCCCTGCACAGCTGTACTCTCAGCACCGGAGTTCTCAGCAGGGGAGTTCCAAAGTGTTGGAGATTGAGTCTCCTGATCAAATGACCACAGCAAGAAAATCACAGACAAAGAACCCTTTGGGAAGTGCCTCTGGACTCCACTTGAACTGTTCACGCTTGATGGAGCTATTTTAATCAAGCTTAAGCAGATACAGCTGGGCTCTCTAGTCTCTCAGCGACACAACCATTATGACCACCCCCTCAAAAAAAATTGCCAGTGACTTCTTTGATTAGCCAATGTTCTATCCGTATAGTAACTTGTTCACGTTAGAGTAGCTAGTTGAGGGTTTATTATTTTGTAAATCAACGTATGTAATGATTACAGTTTTAAAAAATGCATCCTATAGATGGGAAAATAATCACTTTACTTTTAGAAATGTTACTTTTGTTTTATATTCTAAAATATACAGACAACTGTGCCGTTTTCTACGAATAACATCAAGTGACCGACCACAACCTTAGGAAAAAATACCTTTTACATGGTAAATAATTCAACTTCTTGGCTTCATTTTTATCCGGGACAATCCTCAAACCTTTCTGCTGCAGAGCAAATTTAAGTTTATTTCTCCAGGAAAAAAAGAGAACTTTTGATCATCATAGTAACCACTATCCCTTATACATACAGCCAGAAAAATCTGAGGCAGGAGAAAACATTATTTGAAGATACGAAGTATCCATTTAGTATTTTATTTAGAGCAATAGAGAAGTTTTGTTTGTTTGATTTCTCAGTGCAGACTGGTGGCTGCTAAGGAGAAGAACTAACCAGTTGTGAAAGTGGGCTGAACATCTGCAGCAAATCTATTCCTGTCTCAGATCAATTTATTAAAATGTAGCTCTTTTCTATTTTATTACATATACCTGTGTGCTTTTTTCTTGGACCATTGTCTAAATTAAATACATAAATCTTAGAATGTTTCCTATTTTACCTATTCAAAACCATTTCTCTATCAGTTATCATTGCAGCTCATATTAGTATTGTAGGGCCACTGCAACAATGTACCACAAATTGGATGGCTTACACAAAAAAAATTAATTATCTCACAATTTTGGAAGCAGAAGTCTGAAATCAAAGATGTGGGTGGCCACACTTTCTGCTCATGATTTACAGAAGGATCTTCCTTGCCTAGCCTCGCCTCTGGCAGCTCTTGGCACTTTTTGGCTTATGACTGGGTAAGTCTTATCTTTTTCTCCATTTTCACATGGCCTTCACCTCTGTGTCTGTGTCTTCTCCTCTTTGGTCTGTTACAAGAGCATGTGTCAGGATTTAGGGCCTACTCAAATAATCCAGGATGATCGCATCTGAAGATCCTTAATTAAGTTACATTTGCAAAGAACACTTTTTCCAAATAAAATAACATTCACAGGGGCTGGGTATTACCATGTAGACCTACGTTTCTTGGGGCCACCATACAACCCACTTTGTGGTACAATGACTGGGGATATTTAGTGTTACCTGAGAGCAGTATAGAGAAGAGGAAAAGAGGCTAAGGACACTTAAGGAGAGTATAACAGAACTAATTAGGCAGCACAGCTCCATGAAGGAAGCATTATCCAGGTGACAAGTGGCATTTATTAGGAGTCTAGGATATGTGTAGCTATATATTAGGTGTTGTACATTTAGGAGGTCAGCATAGTTATCACCCTCAGAAAGCTGACAGAGGCAGACTAAAGGGTGGAATCTCAGAATGCCATTATTTACTCAAAGTATGACCTTCTCTGAAGTCTGGGCAACAGAAGGACAATATGGATGAGCAAAGAATGCCCATCCTGTTCAAGTTAAACTAAAGGATTCTGCCTCCTTTCCCTACCAAAGGCAGTATCCCCTTAGACCCGAGGCCCAACAAGGACTCCAAAAGATTGTTAAGGACCCAAAAGCCCAAGGCCTAGTGAAACCATGCAGTAGCCCCTGCAAGACTCCAATTTTAGGAGTACAGAAACCCAATGGACAGTGCAGGTTAGTGCAAGATCTCAGGATTATCGATGAGGTTGTTGTCCCTTCATACCCAGCTGTACCTAACCCTTATACTCTGCTTTCCCAAATACCAGAGGAAGCAGAGTGGTTTACAGTCCTGGACCTTAAGGATGCCTTTTTCTGCATCCCTGTACATCCTGACTCTCAATTCTTGTTTGCCTTTGAAGATCCTTTGAACCCAACATCTCAACTCACCTGGACTGTTTTACCCAAAGGTTCAGGGATAGCCCCCATCTATTTGGCCAGGCATTAGTCCAAGACTTGAGCCAGTTCTCATACCTGGACACTCTTGTCCTTTGGTATGTGGATGATTTAATTTTAGCCACCCGTTCAGAAACCTTGTGCCATCAAGCCACCCAAGTGCTCTTAAATTTTCTCGCCACCTGTGGCTACAAGGTTTCCAAACCAAAGGCTCAGCTCTGCTCACAGCAGGTTAAATATTTAGGGCTAAAATTATCCAAAGGCACCAGGGCCCTCAGTGAGGAATGTATCCAGCCTATACTGGCTTATCCTCATCTCAAAACCCTAAAGCAACTAAGAGTGTTCCTTGGCATAACAGGTTTCTGCCGAATACGGATTCCCAAGTACGGTGAAATAGACAGACCATTATATACACTAATTAAGGAAACTCAGAAAGCCAATACCCATTTAGTAAGATGGACATCTGAAGCAGAAGTGGCTTTCCTGGCCCTAAAGAAGGCCCTAACCCAAGCCCCAGTGTTAAGCTTGCCAATGGGGCAAGACTTTTCTTTATATGTCATAAAAAAACAAGAATAGCTTTAGGAGTCCTTACGCAGGTCCGAGGGACGAGCTTGCAACTCATGGCATACCTGAGTAAGGTAATTAATGTAGTGGCAAAGGGTTGGCCTCATTGTTTACGGGTAGTGGTGGCAGTGGCAGTCTTAGTATCTGAAGCAGTTAAAATAATACAGGGAAGAGATCTTACTCTGTGGACATCTCATGATGTGAACGGCATACTCACTGCTAAAGGAGACTTGTGGCTGTCAGACAACCATTTACTTAAATATCAGGCTCTATTACTTGAAGGGCCAGTGCTGCAACTGCACACTTGTGCAATTCTTAACCCAGCCACATTTCTTCCAGACAATGAAGAAAAGATAGAACATAACTGTCAACAAGTAATTGCTCAAACCTATGCCACTTGAGGTTCCCTTGACTGATCCCGACCTCAACTTGTATACTGATGGAAGTTCCCTTGTAGAAAAAGGACTTTGACAAGCGGGGTATGCAGTGGTCAGTGATAATGGAATACTTGAAAGTAATCCCCTCACTCCAAGAACTAGTGCTCAGCTGGCAAAATTGATAGCCTTCACTTGGACACTAGAATTAGGAGAAGGAAAACGTGTAAATATATATACAGACTCTAAGTATGCTTACCCAGTCCTCCATGCCCATGAAGCAATATGGAGAGAAAAGGAATTCCTAACTTCCAAGGGAACACCTATCAAACATCAGGAAGCCATTAGGAGATTATTACTGGCTGTACAGAAACCTAAAGAGGTGGCAGTCTTACACTGCCAGGGTCGTCAGAAAGGAAAGGAAAAGGAAATAGAAGGGAACCACCAAGCGAATATTGAAGCCAAAAGAGCCACAAGGCAGGACTCTCCATTAGAAATGCTTATAGAAGGACCCCTAGTATGGGGTAATCCCCTCCAGGAAACCAAGCCCCAGTACTCAGCAGAAGAAATAGAATGGGGAACCTCATGAGGACATAGTTTTCTCCCCTCAGGATGGCTAGCCACCAAAGAAGGAAAATACTTTTTCCTGCAGCTAACGAATGGAAATTACTTAAAACCCTTCACCAAACCTTTCGCTTAGGCATTGATAGCACCCATCAGATGGCCAAATTATTATTTACTGAACCAGGCCTTTTCAAAACTGTCAAGCAGATAGTCAGGGCCTGTGAAGTGTGCCAAAGAAATAATCCCTTACACTTCAGGCCATACATTTCAATCCCTGTATCTTTAACCTCCTTGTTTGTCTCTTCCAGAATCGAAGCTGTAAAACCACAAATCGTTCTTCGAATGGAGCCCCAGATGCAGTCCATAACTAAGATCTACCGTGGACCCCTGGACCGGCCTGCTAGCCCATGCTCTGATGTTAATGACATCAAAGGCACACCTCCCGAGGAAATCTCAACTGCACAACCCCTACTATGACCCAATGCAGCAGGAAGCAGTTAGAGTGGTCATCAGCCAACCTCCCCAACAGCACTTGGGTTTTCCTGTTGAGAGGGGGGACTGAGAGACAGGACTAGCTGGATTTCCTAGGCCAACTAAGAGTCCCTAAGCCTAGCTGGGAAGGTGACTGTATCCACCTTTAAACATGGGGCTTGCAACTTAGCTCACAACCAACCAATCAGAGAGCTCACTAACATGCTAATTAGGCAAAACAGGAAGTAAAGAAATAGCTAATTATCTATTGCCTGAGAGCACAGCAGGAGGGACAACGATCGGGATATAAACCCAGGCATTCGAGCCGGCAATGGCAACCCCCTTTGGGTCCCCTCCCTTTGTATGGGAGCTCTGTTTTCACTCTATTTCACCCTATTAAATCTTGCAACTGCGAAAAAAACAAAAACAAAAACAAAGTATGACCTTCTCTGAAGTTCATTATTTTGTGTCTCAGTTTTCCTCTTTGGCAATTATGAATGTCAATTATTTTCTTCTCAGAGAACTATAAACATTAATTAAACTAGTGGGTAACCATGTGAGCTCAAATTTATCCCATCTTCATATAAAGGTCTCCTTTGCAGAAATACTCTGAAGATCTGAGAGTCCTTTCAGTCATTTTATATAAATAATTGCAGCCAAAATGATTAATCCCTGACTTTTCAGTCAACAACTTTAATATTTTAATCTAAATCATCTTGAAGATAAATTATCCATAGTGATATTAATTATAACGCAATTTCTTGAGAGTACAAATCAAGTGCTTCATAAAATCATTCAGGTTCATTAATGTTAAAGTCTACACAATAAAAAATTTCATGGAAATGCAGCATGCTCTAGCTGATCTTGTTTTAAAGAGCAAATAAGACGTCAGTACTAGAGAAATGTATTTATGTAATATCCACTAGAATAAGAAAGTCAGTGGCAAACAGTAGAAAGAACAAGTATATTACAGAACCTATATATGGATATATTTATTAAAATCATTTTGAAAAACTAATTAATGCTTGCTTCACTTCTCTCCTGGGGCTATTGTGTCAAAGAAAATAAAACATGAAGAAGGTGTGTGTTCAGTAAGATAATGCCAAATATGGAGTATTTATTACCATTTTTATTATTACTGGAAAAATCACTTGCATTTCTATGAGTTTTTGATGTTTAAAGGAATTTTTTTTTGAAATTGATAACAGCTCCTGCAGAAAGAATTATATGGGTTGCTCTGTTTCTATGGGCAAGTGTTTCTTAACATTTTCCCCTGTTATCCAACATTTGCACACATAGACCCACACATACATAATTTCCATGATGATTTTAAGAAGATAATGTCTGTGACAGCTATTCTTGGAGTAAAAACAAGAAAGAGTGGGGAGGAAGTTATCAGTGGAAAGAGGCAGTAATGGAGTTAATTGCTATGGGATAAAAACACTGAGAGCATTAAGTAAATGTCAATTGTTAGTCAACCAAAATCAGAGGCAACAGATATTTTGCTTAGAGAAATACAAAAGAAAGTAGTCAATTTTAGAGATTTTTAGGAATTATATATATAATTATTACATATAAGAATATATATCGTTATAATTAATATATTATTAATATAAATTAATTATATATTATAATATATAATTTATAATATGAATTATAAAATTAATATAAATTAATTATATATTATAATTAATATTGTTATATTATAGAATTGTGTTATATATAACATACAATTCTATAATACAATAATATATATTTATATATTATCTATTATATTATATATAATAATTATATGTAAGTGACATATATATATGATCAATTCAAATGCTGAATCAGCCTGAGACACACCCCAAGAGATTTTCAATGTATATATTTTGAAAACACAAATAAGCATTATTGCAAAAATAGCAGGTTAAAAAATAAAAACACGAAGTCATCCTGAGCATCATCACTTTAGCAAAAAGAACCATTTTGATTTAATTTTACTTCCTCTTTTCTATAATTTTATAAGATTAGGCAACATTTTTTACTATACAGTTATTTCATTTAACACTAGTTAAATGAATTTAACTTAATTAATTTAATTTAATTTAACTAGTATATACAAGTTTCTATTTAGCTGCATAAGGCTTTATCTTAACACTTTAAAAGCATCATAATATTTAGAGCTGATAGTGTACAATTGAACTAACTACATTTGAACATAAATTATGTATTTTCCAGTTAGTTGATCAATTAATCATAAATCAATGTATTAGTCTGAAAGAAAACTTTAGAAGCTGAGATCCCTGACATTATTTTTTTTTAACCTAGTACTGAGGCTATTTGCAGTGACAATGCTCCTTTGTGATACAATTTTTCTCTTGAACACATTAAATATTCACTTATCACTTATTTATTCAATACGTTTTTGAGACTACTAAAGGTATTATTAACTAGAGAAACAATGATGAAAAAATTAAAATCCCATGGCAATGAAGGATCAAATCTTCCAGTGAGCAGAGAGAGAAGATAACAGTAAAGAGACAGCATTGTAATTTTGGATAGACCTAAGAGTTTTGAAGAAAATAAATATGAACATATGAATAAGAGTGAAAGAATGATCGAAATGAACTTTAGATGAAGTATTGATAAGGAGACACTTAAACTTTTTCTTTTTCTAGGAGTACTCTACCTCCCACATCTACTTTCTCATAAAAATGATATAAAATTACCTGTTTTTTGTACCCTTAGACTGTGTAGAAGAATAGAAGGTAATAAATAGCCCAAGCAGGACTATTCAGTCACAATTTAGAAGTGAATTAGTGTTGATGACTATAGTTCCTTGGAAAAATATTTTAAAAATAAGAAGCCAGTAATCCCAGAGTACCAATGGTGTCTAAGAGAAAAGTTTCTCTACTTTTTCTTCTCTTATATTTTATTAGCAACTGTTCCCTCAGAGGTGCCAGCTGCAGATAGGATAAGTGGAGAATGACTTAGTCTTTGAATATATTGTGCCGTTATCAAAGCACCATGCCTGTCTAAATCTAAAATTGCTTGAGGTATAGGGTAAGCAGTAATTCTTCCTCACATTTCAGTGATGAGATTATTAAGGAGTGCCATATCTAAATGGATCTTAGCATCAACTGGAATTAAGTATTCCAGTCTTTTACTTCTTGTAATAAGTGCCTATTCCCATCATGACTTTTCAAATAAAAGTAATTTCATTTTCTATCTTGATAGTATCATTACTGTAAAACTAAATTGCAGTAGATTTTTAACTCCCTGAGACCAAGCTTCAGTTTGCATCCTACAACCTATTACTAATATTTAATTTTAATGCCATTGTGAAGTCCAGGTTGTTTTAACATACATCTTTTTCTTCTTAATTTAAGTCAACAATCTAACCTTTATTCATATGGGAAAATAAATAAAATAGATTAAAATGAACAATGGTTTGTGGTTTTCTTTGCTTACTTGATGGCTAGTTTTCTGGCTGGAAGGTGTTGGGGAGTGGCAATATGTTACTCTGGTATTTGGCCATAAGTAGGAGTTGTGCAATAAAAGCAAATGGTTTCACAGCATGGAAGGAAAGAAGAGGGGAGAATTTGTGCTACCAGGTTGTGTCATGGCTGTTACTAAATGTCTTAGAGTCACTCATGACCTCTTCATATGAAAATAATAATCATATATATGATGATATATATAAGGTATTTGGGCTAAATAAAGACTCTGATAAGCCCCCACCATTCCCCTGATGCCCTCTGTATGCCCTGGGCAGAAGAATTTCCTCTCTCAGAAGGTTTCACACATTGTGTTTGCAGTATCAGAAGACAAAAGATGTGCTTTGGTGTTTACAACAGCTTCTGTGATTTGTATGGGCCCAAGAGATAAAGAACATGAAGCCCATTCACACCTTGGAAGCTTGGAATTGTACTGAATGTAGATCACCTGAAGAAGATGGATACTAGAACCCAGGAGAACAAAGGTAATTACTCTGAGTGAACAAGAGTTGATGATATCAGCCAGCACAATTTCAGAAAGCATGTCTCCAGGAGGCTCTTGCTCAAGGGGGCCAGCTCTGCTCCCTCCAGTTTCCCAGCCTATCAACCGATGCAAAAGCTCTTATGATTTGAGTATGGGTAAGGCCCTAACATTGAAGAATAAATAGTTCAGGTTACCATGGGTGGGAGTTGCAGAACTCTACTGGGGGTTCACCAGAAGGAAATCCTAGACTGAGGAAGAACCCAGAGATCCTGAAAGCACAAGCAGAAGGAGGGCAATAATGAGCATGTTCCTGGCTGAGTTAGAGGAAATGGGCAGTATGTGCACAGCAGAGCAACCAAGGAGAGCAGAACAGGAGAAAAGCAACAGCAGTGGGCTGATTCTGCATGAGACGACCACTCCCACTCCCTGGGAGCTATTTGTGTATGTCCTACGTACACCTGCTCCCAGTGATTTCTTGTGGATTAATGTTCTTCTCTGAGACTCTCGAACTGGTGGAAAATAGACAACATTTTTATTACATATATAAACACATCTGGGGAATTCTCAGGAATATTGGAGGCAAATAATTACAGGAACATATTGATATCAAGTTGAGTAAGAGCCCAGAGCAGTGAGATTTGGAGTTGAGATATTCTATCTTCCATAAAGACATAATTACTCTTCATTGATTTTCAAGGCTGGGCACACTCAACCCAGACTGCACATGGGTAACATTACAAAGAATTTCCATCTGTTATTACCTTTTCTCTAATAACTCTGTAAAGTGAGCAGAGCTGATATTTTTATTCTTTTTTAATGGTGGAGAAATCACTATCCAGAGATGTTGAGTGAGGTTCAGTCTCTGAGCTGATACCCCAGGAACTTCAATTGCATATACTATGAATTCTCTGCTTAAACTTGGCATTTTCCATGTTTGTTTATTTGTCTAAATTTCTGATATTCATATGAATTTATATAGTCTGTCTTATATTGCTATAAATTTTTTTGATTCAAAAAAATAGATAATAGTAGTAAAACTTACCATCCCCTCTATTAAAAATATCTGGAATTATATTTTCATCTAAGTTTTAAATTTGTTTTGGTTTTATTGATCCTTCTAGAAAATAACATTTCTATTGAAATCCATAGAATCATATCATAGTTAATTTTTTTGTCTTTGCAATAAATCTTAGGGGTTACCTTTTCCAACTTCTCAAGCAGTAAGGAAGGAATATTTCTGGTGAAAACAGAGCAAGAATCTAGCATTTAATTCAGTCAGTTTCTAATGTTGCTCTGCCTGCAGACTAGATATTTTCTCCATTTCAAAGGACTTTCTAAAAATTCAGCACAGTACTAAGAAGTCCCCCATTATTCCCACATGATGAGAGGTGAACAAACTACATTTATGGTTTCTACAGGAAGGAAAAACTAATTAGAATGTTACCTGAGAGCGCCAAAAGTAGGAGACTAAAAAATACTGAATATTTTTCAGGAAATAATTAGTTTAAATGAAAACTTCTCCAACCAGTTTTACATTTTATATGGAGCATTCATGCTATCATTTATCTGAGTGTGCTATTTGCTGTCTCCAGACCATCCTTTGGTCCCTTGGACAGTAAACCAAGGGCTGTGTTTAAGTCTCATGCAACTGATGTCACTGCTCTTAACTGAACAGCAAACTCTTTTCCAACTTTTTGAGACAGTAGTCTCAACTTTTTGCTTCATATTCTGAGTTTGCAGTTCCTACTGAATAGCTAACATTTATTAAGCAATTTCTATGTACCGAGCACTATTCCAAGCACTTGACAGGGATTATATCCCTAACCCGTATAACTATCCTAAGAGATATAGATTATTAATATTAGCATCTTCCTTATACAGATGTGAAAACTGAGGAACAGAGACTTTAACTCCCCCAAAGCCACAGAGCTGGGAACGGCAATCCAGGATTTGGATCCATGTCAACTCCCAAGCCCACACTTGCTCCTAACCTATTTGCTGTTTTGCCCTAAGTGAAGGATACTAATTTTGGATATGGTTTACTACTGTACTTTTGAGCAATTCAGCCATCTCTATTCATTCATTTATTCCACATCAT
The DNA here is from genome assembly GCF_000001405.40 of Homo sapiens. Classification (NCBI taxonomy): domain Eukaryota; kingdom Metazoa; phylum Chordata; class Mammalia; order Primates; family Hominidae; genus Homo; species Homo sapiens. The sequence goes on from NC_000012.12 coordinate 38,480,075, forward strand.
TTATTGGGAATTTATGGAGAACCAGTTACCATGCTTGGCCCTTGATAAACACAAGACATTTCTGTTAAGGAGTACAAGGTTTAGTGAGAAGGACTTAAAAGTAAAGCCACGATTACAGTGCTATGTAACAAGTACTATGAGCTAGTGGTACAGACAGCAAACTGAGGAGAAATGAAGGAACATCTAAATCTAAGCAAGTCAGAGCAGCTGTCTGGTGGAGGCGTATTTGAGCTGAATTTTGAAGGACAGTGAGAGTGAGCTACATAGGAGGAGTGGAGAGGGAATTCTAGGCAGCCATAACAACATACATTAAGGAAAGGATGGAAGCACAGAACAAGAATGTTGGGGGAACTGCAGTGGTTGGTGTGGCCAGGCCAAAGGTATCTGCAGCAGTGTGGTAGGAGATCAAATGACAAAAGAGGTGGGACCAGATAGTTTACACTGTAGATAACATGTATTCAGTGCTTCCTATATTCCAGGCATAGAGGCAAGTGTTTTCAACGGATACTCCACTTAATCCTTACAACTTTCAACCCTAGAGACTGTTACTATTCAGTTCTACAGATGAGAACACTGAGGCACAAAGGTGTTAAATCATTTAGACAAAGTCATATGGGCAGGATTTGAGTCAAGGGAAGGGTTTCAGAACTCATGCTCTTTTTTTCTGCACTATGCTGACAAGCTCATGAAGATCTTTATATATTAGGCCAATGTGATTGAACTTTCTGGAATGCTTCTGTAATAGACACACCCAGAAGCTGTCACATACTGAAACAGATTCTCCTAGGCTAATTTCTTTTATACCTTAGCATTTGTCCAATAATAGTAGTCACAATTTATTCTTGCTTACTATTTACCAGGTTTTATATAAGCATACATGTTATTTAATTTAATTTGTGCCTATAACAATGAATGAGTACTATAAATTGTGATATGAGAATAAAACTCATTAATATTATACAGCTACTAGTGTTAAAGTCGACATTCAAACTCAGTTTGACCAATTCTAAAGTGTTAATTCTTTTGCTACATTCCTTTGACAAATGCATTGCAACTTTCCCATAAGCTTGTGTTGCAAGAAGTGTGTGTTGAGACTGAAGTCTCAACATTTAATATGACCAATTCCAGCAGTTGTGTTGTTCCAAGGTGCTATTTAATTGGCACTTCTCAAATAGAGAAATGCAGAAAGCTCAACTATTAATGAATTCTTTGCTGTTGTTTAAACATTTATGATCTTGTTTCCTTGAAGTAGAGTTATCATCAATTTATGATGGGATTCCCTTGCAGCTAAGTAATCTAAATCTTTTTAAAGTGACCTCAAAATGTGAAGTGCTAAACTTCTGAGATTTTCTATAACTACTTCAGTGAGAATTAAACCGTGTGACAGTTTCACCATAAACATATGTACTACTTACAGCTGCTGCACTCCTAACCCTTGCACAGTCTTAGACAATTTTGTTGAGTATGAAGAAGCTCACTGAAAAGCAATTCTCTTTTGTCTGTAAAAACTATTTGGTATAACAGTCATCATACTATCATGGTTAGGGAAATTAGTCTAGGTTTGGATATTAGATCTACCACCTACTGTCTTAGTTTCTTTCTTTATAAAATGGATATAGTAATCAGAGGTATCTCATCAGGTCGATGGGAATATTAAAGTCAAAGTGCATGTCTTTAAAACAAAAACAACTTAGTGAAGCCTGGCACAGAGTGTGCAATCTACAAACTTCCTCATTAACTCCTGTCATATCTGTTTTTACTTCCTAGTCATATTACCAGCATAACAGCTCCACTCTTAACTTGCTGTATCTTCTGATTGGCAATCACAGATGTATTTATCGTCAGTTCTATTTATTTTCTTAAGTACAACTGGATCCTTACCACCTGCTATGGTTTGAATGTGTACCCTCCAAAATTCAGGTTTGTCAATATGATAGTATTAAGAGGTGGGGTCTTCAAAACATGATCAGCCACTATGGGTCCTCCTTCAAGAAGAATGGAATTAAGGCATTTGAAAACTTCATGCAACATGCTGTTATCACTTGCCCTTCTGCCTTCCACCATGTGAGGGTTCAGCAAGAAGGGCCTAACGAGATGCAGGCATCTTGGTCTTGGATTTTCCAACCTCCAGAGCTGTGAGAAATAAATTTCTATTCTTTATGAATTATTCAGTGTCAGGTATTGTTATCACAGCAGAAGAAGAACTAAGACACCACCTATTCTGTTTTTCCTGCTCTTTTTGGAATTGCCTCAACCTGGGTATAATCACAGATTTCACAATTTACTTGGATGAGTTTGGTCAAGTCAAGCAATCAAGACCTCATTTCTAGAATCAAAAGAATGTAGAAAATATTTCCTTGGTTTCACTGACTTTGGAAATTAGAACATTTAAATAAAATTTAGAATATAATGATTTCTTCTCTTAAAATATCTAAGTCTCACAGATTCAGCATATGGAGTCTCACTTCCCTATCTTAATATCAAAGGAAATCCAAACGATTACTATCAATGATCAGTTAGCCCAATTTCACGTGTCTTAGAAGGAACTGCCTGTACTGTTTAAAGGGAAGTGATGAAACAGAGCATCTTCTCTGCCTTGATTCTGGCATCAGAAAAGGATCCCACACAAAGACTTTCTTTTGCTTTGGGCAATATCCTAAGATCCCAGAGACGAGCAATCTGCACTGCTTACCTGACATATGTCCTCTGCTGTGGGATGCAAGTTAGTCCTAGAGAAGAATTATTTAAAAACAGCAACAATAACTTGGTTTCATCTTTTTCCTTCAGAGACCAATTGTCTATGAATACTTGTTAATATTTAGGGCCAAAATAAAATAGATTACAAGAGATTTTAGCAAAATAAAGGTAGGAATGGAGCCAGACTTCCTATGTCTGGAATCATATCTCTAGATGATAATCTAGCAGCTTTGTTAATCTGGAGCAAAGTAATTCACCCTTTTTCTGTGCCTTAGTTACTGCATCTTAAAAATGAAGGTAATGATAATACCTACCATGTAAGGTTATTGCAAGGATTAAACAGGATGATATGCATGTAATGCTTAGAAGATAGGAAGCTAGGAAGCACTCAATTATTGTTAGTTGTAGTAGTAGTGGTAAGAGTAACAGAGTTTCTTCATGTCTTTCCTTTTACATGCCTTCCTTCTCAACAACGAGATGTTAGAATCACAAATATGTCTCCAAGCAACTTATCTAAATGATGAAACCTGCATAGTTGGTTTTCATTTTAGCAACCAATAAGAAAACACTTTTGATTATAGCATTTTATGCACTCTGCAGACAAAGCAGGCTCTCTACTTTCACATCTCACTCTTGGGTCTGTCAAACTACCCAGTGGAGCATCTTTTTGAGTTGCCTGAGTAATTAGGGTACCTGAAGTGTATTTATATATATATGTCAGGATTTGTTTATTCATTTTAGCCAGTGAAGTAGTCAGTAAACATGGTTTACATGGACAGCATAAAAACTCAGTGACATTTTAATGCCAGCCAGAAGCAAGAAGGAAACTGAGCTTAGGACTCTTCTTGATCTGGGTTCTTAAAAGTCCCTAAGTAGGTAAATATACTAGATATTCAAATCTTGACTTAGATGAATATGTGGTGGGAGGGAGTGTTGGGGGTTAAAATCCACAGCTACATTTCCCAGCAGAGGCAAGAGTAAAATTTTAAGTTCAAATTTGACTTCCTCCTAGATTCAATAAAGAACTTAAAAGAGTTTTATCCTTGTAGGTTATACTTCTCACAAGGACACAGTGAAGACATAACCTTTACCTTGGCCTTATTAAGATCAATTTTCCATAACTGTACTACCTCCAAAATACTTTCTGGCTTATGATGTTGTTACTGGCTCTACCTTATTTATCAGTGTCATTTCTGTTGGTACCAGTAACTTATGTATAAATTTAAACTTTTGCCTCATATTGCATTTAATCAGAAACTAGAATCATTTTTTTCTGGACCACATGGTGAAAAGAAGTCAATATATTTACAGTTTGTGGAATAGGGGAAGTATTTTATTAAGACTCTGAAACTCTCCTTAGTGAGAGTCCTTGACCTACTTACCATAAACTATCAAATCCCATGTTTAAAGGAATTCTTTAGATTTTGTTATTCTGGTTCTTCTGGATCCTGAGCTATTTTTCTTAAATCTACTCTTTATGCCTTTTTCTGTCTTGGTGGGAAAGAAGTTGGACTTTCAGGCTCTGCATTAATCAAAACAACAAAAATCCTTAAAGACAAGCCACTCTTAGATTTTAATTCTTGCTCCCTTTAGAAAACCTATGTTTTCTCTTTGAAAGAATGATATTCTTAAGGGCAAGGATATTATCTAACTCATTTGTGTTTGCTGCTTCTAAAAAGGGAATACCATTTAGTAAATGTTTAATTTATATTTAATGAATGATGATAATTTATAATTCTCTTTGCTTGTTGATTCATGTGAATATTGATGTTCTTACTGAACATAATTTAAATTTTCCATTATTTTTCTCTTATTCAAGGATATTTAAATTTCTCCATGCTCTTTAAAATAACCATGAAGAAACAAAAATTTTAAAATATCTTTCTACCATGGAATCCAGAAGATTTCACTTTCATAGGTCTTCTCAAAAACATGCATGGGTCCAAGGATTATCACTGATCTTAGAGGCAGAGGAATTGCAATGGCAGTAGAAAGTAATATAAATAACTTTCATCAATTATAAAAACATTAGTCTGACAAAGCTCCTGGATTTTGTGTGGGATTGCAAAATTTTGGGAATGCACCAGAAAGTCAAAGGAGCATTCATCCATGAGTCCCTTAGCATGCATTCCTTTTCATTGCTTCTATTTTTTTCCCAAATCTTTTTCTCCATTTTTGCAGAAAATCAATGATAATAACTTAGGTTTATACAATCCTTTTATCTTAAAGAGTCCCTAGCATTTTGCAAATCAAATACTTGAATATACCTCATCTACATTTAATTCTTTTTATGTCTCAATTAAATAGAAACCTAAAGCAACCCATTCTTTTCTGTTTTCATGCACTTTAATGTCTGAAGACTGACAACTTTAATTGTGCTCCTGGTAAAGCAAGTGCAGAATCTTCCTTAGCATCAAAATAGTCCTAAAGAGCTGTAATTAAAATGAAGTGGTCGATCGGCTGCTTTTGATTATAGCAGGTCAAATCAACTTAACCTTTGCAGTATGATGACATAAAAGGCAACCTTACAAGGAGTGTCACTATTCCATCCACAGACTTGAATTAATCAGATTGATGTTCTGACATTCTTTACCATCTGACCAAGTATATAAATAAAACTGAAATCTAGATTTCAGAAAGAGTTGGGTGCAAAAAGGAAAGAGGAAAAACAATTTCCTTGTGAGCATCATGTTGTTCTTTTTTCCAATGGCTGCAGTAAAAAATAAATTCACATTTCTATTTGTGAGATTGATGGATAGAATCAACTTGTGTTTAGGATGATCCAGGTTTGTTTTTCAAATCAGTATTCCAAATCCTTTGGACATAGAAAATTTTTAACGTAAATTCTGATTATCATGCATATTACAAGGCCATGTTATTTGTAAACTCTGTCACAGCTGAATATTTTGAAACACAAAATTATCAAATCTACAGAGAAGTAAGCGTTTTAGGAGCTCTTCTGAGTTCGGATTAATTATTACACCTGTGGAAAACCACTTTACCCCACTGAGATTCTAGCATGTTGGTCAAGGATCATTTTTCTTTCTCTTCCTAAACATGTCAATAGAAGTCAAAACTCCAGCTGCTATCTTAATTACCAGAACAAAAATCCATTATGCAGGTAGTTCAAGTTTTAATTTACCCCCTCTTATGACACTAAAATGTCAAGAGAAAAATATGTGATTCAGAGTATAATATATAGTCCGGAGAAGTTGCCTAGGAGGGAGGTCTGCTAATAGATCTATCATTTGAAAACTAAAGAGTGTTTGGAGTTTCTTCTGTGACTTGATAATCTGTTTCATTTCTATTGTGGGCTGAATTTTAGCTGGCTATTTGCAGCTTCTTTTTTATATTGCTCAAATTGGGGTCAATTTCTTACTTCTGGTTTAATAATTTAAAGAAAGCACACACTAGATTTGATCTGGCTATTCACAAAAACATTCTAATCTGTCCCTGATCCTTTCTGCTAGTGTCTAGGTGGTGTTTATCTAGCTGAAACCATGTGTGAAATTTCCAAGTATTATGTTGCTTTGTCAAGTTATTCAGAGTATTCCCATGCAAGGTATAAAAACAACTGCCTCTCCCCAGCTTGGGCGACAGAGTGAGACTCCATCAAAAACAAAAAACAAAAAACAAAAAGCAAAAAAAAAACCAGCTGCTTCTATGTAGGTGTGGAAAATGATACTGTGACTTTATTTGACATAAATAATACAAGTGTGGATTAAATACAAATATGGGTATTCCAAAAATACAGGTGAGATCCCAAATGACTATGTTAATGGTCTAGGATTGTGAGTTGACATTTTTGTCAGTTTATTTGGATTCTCAACCTTTGACTTTTTGACTTAGTGTCATGTCACTCTCTCAATTTCCCGTCTGAGTAAAAAGATAGGAGACTTCCTCTAACACCAATTTAATCTTGTGGCTCATGTCAGGGCCTTCATTGTGAGCTGCATAACCCCACCTTCTCTCCTATTCTTTTGTGATGATAAGAGCAACATAGTTTCATAGATGAAGCAGCTTACGAGCTATTATCTGTTAGGTATCGGCATTTCCTCTCCAAAGGTGATTTTTTTTTGCTCTTTCCAGGAGACCTGCTATGAATATACCTGCTAAAGGAAAGTTTTAGTTTCTTTTCCACTCAGCAGGCTGAATTTCTGGGTCATACAGTAGCTTTGTTCTGCCCCAGAAGCTATTAATGAGTCAAAGTCCCACAAGAAAATAGCTAACTTGGCCCTAAAGAGACATGTATAACAAGGCAGGCATGAATAGAAATGGCTAATATTTATTGAATACCTGTTATGTGCCAAGCACTATTCTGAGTGATTTACACGAGCTAAGTAATTAAATTGTCATCACAATAACCCTATGAGTAGAGAGTAAATAATATATATGGAAGTAGTATATATTATATATATGTATATAATGTCTCTGAGTAGATTTTATATATATATGCATGCATATATATACACATGCACACATGCACACATGTATATATGGCAACATCATCCATCCAGTTGCTTAGATCAAAAATTTGGAGTGATCTTCGATTACTCTCTTTCTCTCTAAATCCATGTCCATAAACATACAGCTAGAACCTGTCCATGTATGTTTAACATACATCTAGAACCTGTCTGTTTATCCTCTCCACTGCCTTCAACTTAGTCCAAGCCACCAGACGTCTTGCCTGGATTAATAGACTCGTAATGAGTCTTTCTTTTTCTACTCCGATCTTACTTTTATCCCAATCTCTTTGCAGCACAGTGATCCTTCAAAAACTTAAGTCACATCTTGTCTCTCCTGTGTCAATATCCTACAATTGTTCTTCATTTCATTCAAACACCAAAGTCCTTACAATGCTCCATCAGGCTCTATGTGATCTGACCTCATCACTCACTGCCATTCACCCTGTTTGCTTGGCCGTAACCACGGTAGTCTCCTACCATGCACACACCAGATGCTTATGGCCTTCCCTCCAAGGTTCCCTCTTCCTAGAATATTCTTCCTGTAAATATCCACTTGTCTAACAACCACCTTTTTTGGGTCCTTGTTCAAATGTTACTTTCTTAATAAAACAAAGTACGTTCCATTTTACACTCATCATTTTCATTAGTATTAAAAAATAGGCCCAGAGAGGTTAAATACCAAGACTACGCTTTAAACCTATGCAGTTTGAATTTACAGATAGCTTTTTTAAGTGACACACTAGAAGTATTCAAGAGTCAAAATCTAAGCCTTTTTACTTGTTTTGCATATGGATGTAAATTAAGGGCATACATATAGAGTTTGGGGCTTGATACAACTGGGAGACATGTACAGTCTTACCCAGGCCTACCTTTCACGACTGCGGCTTTGCCTAGGCTGTTCTGCTATTTGAAATAGCTGTTCCTACTCTTTCGTACCCATCATACCAGATTTGGCTCAAATGCCATCTTCTCTGCCGGGTTTTCCACATCCTCGCCAGATCTTTGGCCTATTTTCTATGTCCTCTCCTCACAATATTCAGGCTTCAATCATATACTCACTGAGTTTTACTGTGTTTCATCTATTTACATACTGTATTCATTTTTCTGACATAATGAGTACTCAGTGAATACTGGTCTGAACATTGGATAAATGACCAAATTGTTAATCCAAGTATTTTGGACACAAATTAAAATTTTGCATAAGCCAAGATTTCTGTCTTCAAAAAGCTAAAACAAGTGAAACTGCCTCTGTATTCCTACATATGTGTGCACATGTATGCATGTGTGTCATGAACGTACACGCACTTTTGTTATTCCAAATTTGGAGGTATGGGGAGCTTATTTCTAATATATCTCACCTCTTTTGTCACCACATTATGTGGCTTCTGTCCAATATGTGAGGTGCATTTTATTGTTAAGTACATTCTATGGAAACTGATGAGAAGTTCTTGTTAAAGAAAGGTTTTCAAACATACCTATACTTTCTAGAAGGGAAGCCATACATTTAAAATAAAGAGAACATTTTGAAATAAGCTCACCTGACTAGCCCAAATTGAGTACCACCCCTTCCGCACAATTTTCTTTAGCCATTATAACTTGTTTTGCTTGCTCCAAAGATATTTTTCTATTACAGATCAGTTCTGGACTGAATGTTTATATCTCCTGCAAAATTCATATGTTGAAGCCCTAATTTTCAGTGCAGCTGTATTTTGCAACTGGACATATAAAGAGGTAATTACAGTTAAATGAAATAATAAAGGTAGAGACCTAATCCAATAGGATTAGTGTCCTCATAAAAAAGAGACGCCAGAGAGTGCTTCCTACCCCTCCCTACATGCCCCACTTCCCACATCCAGTCATGTGCCCCGGGCCAGTCTGGAAGAAACTCAATAGGCTAGAACCTTGATCCTGGCCTTGGAGCATCCAAAACTGTGAGAAAATAAATTGTTAGTGTTTAAATCACTAAATCTATGGTATTTTTTAATGGCAGCCTGAGCAGAGTAAGACATATACTCTGTTATATTTACAGTTAATGTTTCTTTCACAACACTCATTCTTGTTTCTTTAGATGAATAGTAAATTTAGGGTCACAGAAGTGGACATCCTTCCTATTCACTCATTCATGTTTGTATTACTTAGAAATAGTAAGCATTTACATTTCTTGAATAACATGCCCTTTTCTTCCAATAAATTAAAGCTTCTTTTTTTAAATGTTATTCTGTCTTATTTTGGCAGATTTAATATTATATTTCTCATCTTTTTTAGCTGTGAAAAAAACACGTGGAAATTTCTAGGGCACTATGATAACTGCTTTTGCTCATCACGAACACTTGGCCATTTCATTCTGAATTGTCTAGAGTAAGAAGTTAAAAATGCATATTTCTCAAAACTTCAGGCAGTGATTTTAACATTTTTAGAGTCACGGTGCCTTTTGAGATTTCAGTGGAAGTTATGGATCTTATAAATTCACATGGGCAAATATTTGTAAAATTTCAGCTGTTTATGGACCCCATGAAACCCATTCAAGGACTCGCTTAGGTGTTCTTGAATCCCAGGTTATGAATCTCTGTTCTAGTCAATGTAACTGTGTTTATCACAGTAGTTGGGACTAATCGGAGCTTTCTATAAATACTTGAAAATAGAAAGATTTTGGAGTTACATAATCTCAAATAACATTCTAAGTTTTCCACACCAATGCTTCTTATGAAAGACTCTGAAGTGGGGAAGTGTGAGCTTCTGATATTGGAAGTTTTACAGTACAGAGTAAACTAAGAATTCTGTAAGCTCCCTAAAACAGCCCACTACTTTCCTGATGGAATCAGCAAAGTAGGTTGCCTGTGATATTTTTAAAATCATGTGGGGAATATTTCAAGCCCTGATCACAGACTACACATTAAAATGAGTCACGATGGTGACCTATACTTTGAGCCATAGAGACAAACAGACTTAAGGGAAATCAGTTTCTGAAAAGCAGCTTGTACATTCTGATATATGTCATGTTATCCTAATAGAAGTGAAGGATGTGGAGCGATTAGAGGGACTCCCTGCATTGGTCCACTTACAAGCTGACTCTGGAGCTCAGTCAATACAAGGACTGCCTCAGATACTGATGGGGAGGGGGTTTGCTCCTGCTTCTCTCCGTGGGCTCAACTAAGCCAGCATTAAAGCTGGAGACTCCTTCTACAGTATATCTTTCCTGCTAACTCCACGGGAGAAGAAAAGAAGCGGCATATGGCATTTGTTCTTACTTAAGAAAAAAAGAAAAAACTAACCTTATAAACTCTAACTTTTAATGGGTTTAGTTTAAATGTAACAAACCAACCCTTGAGATACAGCATAAAAATTGAAGACTTTTTATGGTACTTTAATTATAATGAAGGGGAATAGAACAGTCCCTCAGTAACCCCCTTTATTATGTTAGATGCTAAAAAGCAAACACACACAAAACAACATGGTTCTTTTGTTACCAAGGGGATGCCCTGATGGATGAAAAAGTGCATAGTGTACAATATGGATAATGATGTCTCTTGATCATAAACATATTCTTTCTCTTTTTAGAATGAGAAGAGTCATTTAAGTCCACTGCTTTGCAAATATGGAATCAGGGGTGCAATATATTGATGGTGTTCTGTGGAGGACAATGTGCAGAAGACATCTTAGACATATTGAAGACAAATTTTAAGTGCATTTGGTATTCAGAAGAAACAGATTTTTAAAAGAGAACAAAAATTCTCTCCCAGATCATCAGATATAACAAGTTTGATGCTGCACCAGTGACATTTTTTGTGTGTGAATGCAGCAGGAATCTGTTTCTCCTGAGTCCCCTGCTATTTATGAATGCAAAGAAGAAACCAACCTTCCCTTCCCTAATTGCACCTGGCAAATAGTCAGAATGACAGATTGGGAATGTTCTTAGTCAGTAAATTCCTTAGACAGAGCCAAACGCCCTGACACACACAACAATTATATCTTCTCTCCCACCTCCCACATACACAATCACCATAGCTGTCATTTCTACCACCATTGAGAAAATACCTAATCCATCCAGGTCTTCTCTCTATGAATGTCTTTATTTTCCAGCTTCATTCTTTTAATAAATATTTGTTAGTAGATATGCTTTGGAGTTTTAAAGTCAAATCCATTTCAAGATATTCCACCTATAACTTTGAGCAGGAAATGCAATTATATGTTTCAGAATATTTTCTAATAGTCTTTGTGAGATTGGTTTTTTGGAAAAAGCACTGATTTTTGAATCTAGCTCTGCCAATTTTGTGATCTTAGAGAAGCAACTTAAGCTTTCTTGAACCTGTATTTTTGTATCCAAGAAATGGAAGTGATAATGCTTACTAATTTTCTCAAAGAGTTACTGTGATAAAATTAAATAACATATATGAAAGTACATGGTAAACTAAAAAGTTTTCAAAATAATAATACCATTTTTATTATTTCTATTATATGCAACTCTTTGCTTCTGACAAACCAGATCAAAGATTAAATTTACATCTGCTACCTGTGGCATTTTATACTTACAAAGTGGCACAAACATTTCCTATTTGTTTTATACTGTGTGTCTTCATGTCAGTTAACAGACAAGAGACAAAGCAGTCTGCTTTAGTCTGCTTAGATGGCTGTAACAAAATAAACTTAATTGAGTAACTTATAAACAACAGAAATTTATTTTCCACAGTTCTGGAGACTGGGAAGTCCAAGAACAAGGCACCAGTAGCTTCAGTGTCTGGTGAGGAATCACTTTCTGGTTCACAGATGGCAACTTCTCCCTGAGACCTCACACCGTGAAAGGGGTAAACAAGCCCTCCAGAATTTCTTTTATAAAGGCACTAATCTCATTCATGAGGGCTCTGCCCCATGACCTCATCACTTCCTGGAGGACCCACCTACTAACACCATCACCTTGGGGGTTAGGATTTCACCTTATAAATGTTGGGGAATACGAACATTCAGGCCAAAGCACAGTCCTTGGTCAAGTCTATGAAACAAGTAAGTGGGACATCTAGATTTAGAATACAGCTGTTCTTTAGAGCATATATAAATACAGTAATTCTATACTTTCAATGTTTAAAAATTATCATATTTTATAAATCAAAATAGACTAAAATAACACTTTTCGGATCCAGGACCCAGAAGTTTAAACATCTCATTTGATGATTATCCCTTCCTTTTATTCTTTTGTCTCTGTGTTTAACACTCTATCAAAACCCTAGTTAATTTTAATAATTAATTGGTAGACATTTGTCCCCATCTGTGCCAGTTTTATTATCTGGGAACTGAGTAATATAACACTTACTTCAGGGGTTTGCTATGAAGATTAAACAAAGTTATAGAGACAGAATCTTAGAACTCTTCCAAAAACAAGTAAGCATTGATCAGTATTACTACTTTTTCGTTAGTATCATTCTCATTCAACAAATTGATTTATCACCCACCATGTGCCAGGCACTGTTATAAGGATTTAGGCTATAAAAGTTGACATAATAAACAAGATTCCAGCTCTTACAGAGTTTATATTCTGGTTTGAGGAAGGGGAAGACAGACAATAATCAATAAGCCTAATAATTGAGAGAGAATGATTATCACTATGGGAAAAATGTAGGGAAGGGGGAGTGCATAGGCAGTGTTATGATTAGGGATGGGACAAATGTCCAAATTTAAACAGAGTAGTCAGGGTAAGTCTAATTGAAAAGATGACATTTAACACATGATTTGAAGAAATGTTTTAGCCATGCTCATATCTAGCAGAAGAATTATCCAGATAGAGGCAACAGCCAGTGCAAAAACTCTCAGGCAAGAGTCTGTCTACAGTGTGAGAGTATTAAAGATCTCAGATTGCCTGGAGCAGATGGAGTAAGAGGACAGTGATAACAGCTGAAGTCAAAGAGAGAACACCTTGTAAATCCCTGGAAAGACCTACACTTGGGGGGCAATTGGAGGATTCAAGAGATGAAGCTGCACCATCTGATTGATGTTTCAAGATCCCACTACCTGTTGCATTGAGAGTATTCTCTATGGAGGTGAGGGTGGACACAGTGAGACCAGTTAGAAAGTGATTAGAGTATCAGAGGTGAGAGATGACGGAGGCTTGGACAAGGGGATAGCAGTGGGAATGGTGGTAAAAGGTTTGTGGATATATTTTGAAGGTAGAACCAACAGGATTGCCTTATGATTTGGAGTTAGGATTTGAAAGAAGTCAGAAAACAAGTTTTACAATGCCTTACTTCAATTTCTAGCCACAAAAAGTTCCAAGAGATTTAGTTGACCTACACAGATTTTGAAGTTTGCAAAAGAAGGTAAGAATTAACAATAAAAATTAACATGGGCTTTCTTCAAACAACTTCAATATTGAAAAAAAGAATACCAAAGAAGGTTCAATTATTTTGCAAAGAGTGGAGGGGACTATTATCAAACATTTATTTTGCACCCCATGACTTATATTTATGTTATTGCCAGAGAGATAAGGATATAGTTGCAGATCGAGGAAAAAAGTGAGTTATATGGAGGTGAGACAGTAGAGTTTCTTGTTTAGTACAGACCGTGGAACCAGGCTACTTTGGGTGTGAATTCTGTTCTATTACTTACTAATAATTTAGCCCTGAACTCACAAGGTTATTGTAAGGATTAGACAAATTATTTTAAGAAAATAGTTTAGAATAATATCTAGAAATTTGTGTCATGTAAGTGTTAGGTATTATTCTCTCTGTGTGTTTTGTGTGTATGTATGCATGTGTGTTGGGGTTGTTTTATGTTGTTCTTTTATTGCTATCTTACACTTCCATTACTCAACAAGTTTGCAAAATGCTAGTTTATTAAGTTGTAAGTTGATCATTCTCTGAGGGACTGATTTATGCTCAACTCAGATGAATCTTATTCATAAACCAATATAACAACTTAGTTGTTTTCTCTGAAATTAATACTGCCAAAATTACCGAACACACATGTCAGCAAGTATAAAATTCTCTTCCAGAACATTCCTCCAACAATGGAAAAACAATATCAGAAAGCAAAAGGTGGTTGAAAACTTTAAAGAAAGTTCTTATAATGTTGTGGCAACTTGGTACATCATTGTTTCCTGTAAAAATACTTGGAAAAGAAACAGGAATCCTAATATCAGTTAGTTAGCAAAAATATTTTCTGGATAGTAATGGGGCCTACATAATTACCATTTTTTGATAGATCCCCATTTTTAATAGTGCTAGTATATGACAATCTGTATCTCTTCTTTGATTACAAAATCTCCTCCATTATTTTAATATGACTCCAGTGCGTGTGGTCATTTTCAGGATTTCAACCTATTTTGCATTAATTGTACTCATTACATGCGAATTGATAGTTTCCTGGTTGCCTAGTAATATTGAGGAGTACACACCCACCTCATTAATAATATACACATAAGTCATGTTTCAAAGTGTATTATTTTTTGAAAGATATATGTAATCAACTAATTTAATGTGTGAATAAATTCTAGTTAGCTCCATCATATGAAGTTGTTTTTCCCAATTGTGAGTATCTAACTCCTATAACATAGTACTGTATTCTGATACTCACTGTTTACTTTTAGTAATTATGAAAGAAAGAAGGGGAAAGAAAACAAACAGTGTTGTCTAGGGATGGAATGTGGTTCTCCTTGAGATCTCCTAGTGAGAGAGGATTAAAAAACTATTGCTACTTGGGCAAAGTTTTGCAGTATCAAACCCATCATATTCACCATGGGAGCCATATTCCAAAGGTCTGTGATCTCAAGATGACAGCTCAGAGCCCCAAAGTGATAAAAAAAAATGCAGAGTTAGCTTCTTTTAATCATTAATCTTTTTTGTGTCATTTGATTTTTCTCCTCATTTGTTTTAAACCCACCCAGACATTTTTGTTTTTCTTTTGAGTGCTCCCAGGCATTTGTTTTACCCAATGCAATTAAAAATTCATTATGTGATCCACAGGGTTCATCTGAATTTGGCACTGCTTTGGAAGTTTCAGTTATTTGTCTGGGCCAAGAGGAATTCTTTGAGAAGATAAAATATGGGATTTTAGCAATAATGATGTTGCTTTGGCTTATGCAAGTACTTAATTAGTGCTGCAGGAAAACACATCATTAACTTTCAATAATATTTTCTGGAACAGAAAATATAAAAGGCAAAGTTTATGTTATTTAGGATACATTTACAACAAGGATGTGCACATATACACAGTAACAAAATCAAAAGGAGCATTATACTATAAAAGAAAAAATGACTACTCCAAAGTGAAATTGATCACATTTATTAGATTATATTATTAGAAGAATTGGAAATAATGTTGATTGGATCTAATGTTCTGATTCCACAAATTACTCTTACATGTGATGTTCGTTTTAAAGCCACTGCATGCATATCTTATCAAATGCTGGGAAAATAAAACAATATTGCCAAGAAAAAAAAATTATTTTGTACCAATACAGAAGAAAGAACACAATTTATTATTGAGAAGCATTGTCAGATTTATATGGATGTAAGGTAGCATGAAAGTGACTACAAACTCTGGATAGAATTTCACACAAATTTACTGAGTAAAGTAGAAGAAAAACACAATGAAAATGTCTTGTATCTTCTTGAAAGATAAATACATGCACCTGGTGATTGTCCTCTGTAAAGTCCATAATGAAATCATGAATTGATTTGGAAGTATATTTGCAGTTCCAAAGAACAGAAAGGCCCAAGACTTTGCACTTTAAAATAAAAAGTTCAGGCCTCATATTAAGCCTATTATGTTTATAAACAGACACTCTAAGGACAGAATGGGGAGGTAGCTGCCTCCCTTGTTTTTATGAAACAAAGATAACTTAATTTCATCATTTCACCCTTACACAACTGAGAAGAGCAATTTGGATGATATTTATTAAGAAATAGAGAGCCAAATAGACTGTATGTATATGCATATATTATGTGTGTGTGTGTAAGTTTCTTTCTTGCTTTCTTTGTAAATTACTGACTTTACTGGATCATGAATGGTAGCTATAATTAATTTTACAGAATTTTAATATGGGTAGTCAATATATAATTAAAATCACTTTCCATATATTTGAAAGTCGTTTGTGTGGTTATATCAACTATACCATCTGCTGATTAAATTAGCTCAAATAAAAATATATATATATATATGTGAAACCACTTAATTGTGACAGAAAAAGTTTAAAAGATTCAAAACAAGGTTCTTATTAACTAAAAATAACCAACTGCAAATTTTAAATAAAATTGTAAAATATGTCATTCCAAATAACAAAACAACTCAGCAAATACATACCGAAACATATACAACTGATATAAAGAAAATTATTAAAATGTATTAAGGGATATACATATGTCTATCAGTGGAGAAATATAACTTATTCTTGGCAAGAAAGATGCAACACTATAAATATATGATGTTTATAATAAACACTATTAAAAAATAAAATATAATACTATTAAAAAATAAAATATTATAAAGTCATAAATATATGACTATTAATCTCTAAGTACGATAAAAATTCAGTGAAAAAGATACAATTTTTTCTGACAAAACAAAGTGTTTCTAAAGTTCAGCCAAAAGTATACATTTTTGAGAAATCAGGAAATTCTGAAAAACTGAAAAACTTTTAGTCGTCTCTTTCTCATTTGTAAAATATACTGTGTAAAATTTTAGTAATTATTAATGTTGTACTGTAATAGACATATATGGGATAAAAGAGATTTCAATATAACAGATTTTAAATTTAAAAAAGAATATAGATTTAAATGTGAATATTAAAACCAAAATTATAGGAAAAAATATGAGGGTTTTTTGATAATTTATTTTATTTTATAATTTCAACTTTTATTTTAGATTTGGGGGTAGGATTTCATGTGCAGGTTACTTGAGTACATTGCATTATGATGAGGTCTAGCGTACAGCTGATCTTTTCACTCAGGTACTGAGTATAGTTCCTGGTAGTGTTTCAACCTTGCCTTCCTTCACTCCTCAATAGCCCCCAATGTCTATTGTTGCCATCATCATGTCTACAATTACCCAATGTTTACTCCCACTTATAAGTGATAACGTGTTATTTTGTTTTCTGTTCCTGTGTTAATTCACTTAGAACAATGGGCTCCAACTGCATCCATGTTGCTGCAAAACACATGATTTTGTTCTATTTTATGGCTGCATAGTATTCCATGGTGTATATGTACTAAATTTTCTTTACTCAGCCTGCTACCATTAAGTACATAGGTTCATTCCACATTGTTGCTATTGTGAATTGTGGTACAATAAATATATGAGTGCTTGTGTTTTTTTGGTAAAACAATTTATTTTCTTTTGGAAATATACCTAATAACAGGATTCCTGGGTCAAATGGTAGTTCCATCTTATCTTTGAAAAATCTCCAAACTGCTTTCTGTACTGGCTAAAATCTCCAAACTGCTTTCCACACTGTCTGAACTAACATTCCCAACCAACAGTGTATAAGTGTTCCCTTTTCTCCACAGCCTTTCCAGCATCTGTTGTTTTTTGACTTTATTGTAATAACCATTCTGACTGGTGTGAGATAGTATCTCATTGTAGTTTTGATTTGCATTTCTCTGATGATTAGTCATGTGGAACTTTTTTTTTATGTGTTTCTTTGCCACTGTGTGTCTTCTTTTGAGAAGTGCCTGTTCATGTATTTTGCCCATTTTTAACGGGGTTGTTTTTTGCTTGCTGAATTGTTTAAATTTCTTATGGATTCTGGATATTAGACATTTGTCAGACATGTGGTTTATGAGTATTTTCTCCTATTCTATAGGTTGTTTGTTCACTCTGTTGATAGTTTCGTTTGCTATGCAGAACTTTAATTAGATCCCACTTGCCAATTTTTGTTTTTGTTGCAGTTACCTTTCAGAACTTGGTCATAAATCTTTCCCCAAGATATGGTAAGTTTTAAAGTGGAATTTAGATGAGGAAAGGCTTTTTAATATATAACTAAATGTAGAGAGCAAAGGAACTTTGGTAGACTTAATTATAAAAATAAGTAAATAACAATTAAATTTCTCTATGGCAAAATGTATGACTAACAAAATTGTAATACAAATACTAAATTTGGAAAATAATATTTGCTACACATTTGACGGACAATAAACTGATAATTCTAGTATAGTATGCAAATAACTCTAAAATTAAAAGCACAAAACATTCAGGCAATTTACAAAAAAATCAATTTTAATATAATATTTAAAAATTCAACTTGGCTAATTAATAGAGAAAATGAAATAAATACAAAATTGATTACATACTTTCTATCTATCAGATGGACCCACCTCCCCCTAAAGAACAAAAAGATATAGAAAAGCACAAAATTGTGAATGTATCCTATCTTGTTGGTAAGAATGTAAATTAATGCACACCTTTTAAAAACTCATTTGACAATGTACACCAAAATTTAAATATATATTCACCATGACTCAGGAAATAATTCCAAGGAGATAATTGCCAAGTGGTTAAATATGTTTACTATATGAATGTTTATTGTTACATTGTTTTAACAGTGAACTATTGCAAACAAGCTTAATGTCCAAAACAGGGTCTGCTTAAATAAACAGCTGTAATATTCTGTATTTTAATTTATTTGAGTAAAGATATTTATCCTGGAATTCTTTAAAGTCTATTAAAATAATAAGGTATAGCTATACTGGTAGTGACACAGAATTAATTTTCTGACACATTATTTAGTGAAAAAGAGCAGATAACAAAATAATATTTACAAAATAACCTCATTGATATAAAATTCATCTGTGTATTTGTGTGTGTGTGTGTCTGTGTGTGTCTGTGTAAATATATCCAAAGGGAGCCATTTGGAAAGATGAAAGATTTGAAGGTTTTCTCATCTAGTTTTTCTACATTCCAATGAGTATTCTTTTAAAAAATTATAATTGTGATGGATCACATAAACAGAACCAATGACAAAGAACACATGATTATCTCAATAGATGTAGAAAAGGCATTCAGCGAAATTCAACAGCCCTTTATGCTAAAAACTTTCAATACACTAGGTATCGATGGAATGAATCTCAAAACAATAAGAGCTGTTTATGACAAACCCACAGCCAATATCATACTGAATAGGCAAAAACTGGAAGCATTCGCTGGGAAAACTGGCACAAGACAAGGATGCCTTCTCTCACCACTCCATTCAACATAGTATTGCAAGTTCTGGCCAGGGCAATCAGGCAAGTGAAAGGAATAAAGGGTATTCAATTAGGAAAAGAGGAAGTCAAATGGTCTCTGTTTGCAGATGACATAATTGTATATTTAGAAAACCCCATTGTCTCAGCCCAAAATCTCTTTAAGGTGATAAGCAACTTCAGCAAAGTCTCAGGATACAAAATCAGTGTGCAAAAACAACAGTCATTCCTATACTCCATAAAAGAGAAGCAGAGAGCCAAATCATGAGTGAACTCATATTCACAATTGCTACTAAGAAAATAAAATACCTAGGAATACAACCTACAAGGGATGTGAAGGACCTCTTCAAGGAGAACTGCAAACCACTGCTCAAGGAAATAAGAGAGGACACAAACAAATGGAAAAACATTCCAAGCTCATGGACAGGAAGAATCAATATTGTGAAAATGGCAATACTGTCCAAAGTAATTTATAGATTCAATGCTATCCCCATTAACCTACCATTGACTTTCTTCATAGAATTGGAAAAAAAACTTTAAAATTCATATGGAGCCAAAAAAGAGCCCACATAGCCAAGTCAATCCTAAGCAAAAAGGACAAAGATGGAGGCATCACACTACCTGACTTCAAACTATACCATAAGGCTACAGTAACAAAAACAGCATGGTACGGGTACCAAAACTGATATATAGACCAATGGAACAGAACAGAGGCCTCAGAAATAATGCCACACATCTACAGCCATCTGGTCTTTGACAAACCTGACAAAAACAAGCAATGGGGAAAGGATTCCCTGTTTAATAAATACTGTTGGGAAAACTGGCTAGCCACATGCAGAAAGCTGAAACTGGATCCCTTCCTTACACCTTACACAAAAATTAACTCAATATGGATTAAAGACTTAAATGTAGGACCTAAAAACGTAAAAACCCTAGAGGAAAACCTCGGCAATACCATTCAGGACATAGGCATGGGCAAAGACTTCATGACTAAAACCCCAAAAGCAATGGCAACAAAAGCCAAAATAGACAAATGGGATCTAATTAAATTAAAGAGCTTCTGCACAGCAAAAGAAACTATCATCAGAGTGAGCAGCCAACCACAGAATGGGAGAAAAATTTTGCAATCTATCCATCTGACAAAGAGCTAATATCCAGAATCTACAAAGAACTTTAACAAATTTACAAGAAAAAAATAAACTGCCCCATCAAAAAGTGAGAGAAGGATATGAACAGACACTTCTCAAAAGAAGACATTTATGCGGCCAACAAACATATGAACAAAAGCTCATCATCACTGATCATTAGAGAAATGCAAATCAAAACCACAATGAGATACCATCTCACACCAGTTAGAATGGTGATTATTAAAAAGTCAGGGAACAACAGATGCTAGAGAGGATGTGGAGAAGTAGGAATGCTTTTACACTGTTGGTTGGAGTGTAAATTAGTTCAACTATTGTGGAAGACAGTGTGGCGATTCCTCAAGGTTCTAGAACTAGAAATATCATTTGACCCAGCAATCCCATTACTGGGTATCTACCCAAAGGATTGTAAATCATTCTACTATAAAGACACATGCACACGTATGTTTATTGTGGCACTGTTCACAACAGCAAAGACTTGGAACCAACCCAAATGCCCATCAATGATAGACTGGAAAAGAAAATGCGGTACATATACACCATGGAATACTATGCAGCCATAAAAAAGGATGAGTTCATGTCCTTTGCTGGGACATGGATAATGCTGGAAACCATCATTCTCAACAAACTGTCACAAGAACAGAGAACCAAACACTGCATGTTCTCACTCATAAGTGGGAGTTGAACAATGAGAACACATGGACACAGGGAGGGGAACATCACACAGTGGGGCCTGTCAGTGGGTGGAGGCTAGGGGAGGGATAGCATTAGGAGAAATACCTAGTGTAGATCACGGGTTGGTGGGTGCAGCAAACCACCATGGCACATGTATACCTATGTAACAAACCTGCACGTTCTGCACATGTACCTTAGAACTTAAAGTATAATAAAAAAAGAAAAAATTATAAGTAGAAATAAGGATGCTTTAATTTTAAAAAATCATTAATGAATTTAAAAATATATGCACATTTGTACCAGTATTGTTCAGAGAATGAAGAGTAGCTATTTTTTACACTGCTTGTGGGAGTATGAACTGTTTTGCAGTTGCTGAGGCAATATGACAATATACAACAAAAGTATTAGAACATGCAAATTCTTTCCCCACCGCTTTCAAACCTAGAAATTTCTTTTGCAAGAAATGTGAAGAAGGCGTCGTCCCTATTGTGAATGAGTTCTGTGAAGTAGAGAGGCTGGAGCAGTCACAGCCAGAGGGCCACAAGTGTGCTTGGTTTCACTCAAAAAAAAGTTTTTGTTTTATTCTAAATTTAAGCCAACGTTTAAAATTTGAATGTTTCACAGAAATTATGGGTTCCTAGTTTCTCTTAAAATTTCAGAAGATCTGGCACACTGGGGACAAATACACCCTTGACCATGAACAGCTGGAACTAAGTATTGGCTGTCACTTTGAGACAGGCTTTGTGCTAGCAGGTCCCACCATTTCTATACTTATCTCATTTATTTTTACCAATTTGACCTTTACATTTGCAATTCCTGGGTTAAGGTATTTGCTAATCAACTAAAGAGAGACAATTCAATCTCAGGAACTTCCCCTGCATGTCTGAGATACTCAGTACTTTTGTCTAGAAGGAGTCTATTTTTTCATTTATTATTCTTTCTTGATCCCAGATCATGAGTCACTGACTTCTCCAGTGGTTTTATTATCTTATATTGTGTAAACCAAACAGATTTACTCTTTGGTTTGGGGCCTGGAAATCTGAAGAGGATAGTGCATGGGCTTAACTGTTTAGTGGAATTTTCAATTCATCAAATGTTTTGCCTTTATATGTAGTAAAGTTTCTGGCTTTCCCCATTAGATACTTTTCTAATTACTTCATTCCAATTCATTATAGATTTGCTTTGGATGGAGACCAGGTCTATTAACTCTCAATTTCATCAAGAGTCCCCGCAAAATTTTCAGTCTGCCAGTGCTTGTCCTTAAGCTATGCATTTCTGTAAGGGACATTTTTTTCCAAATAGCAACATGGCCCGATTTATATTGGAAATCTTTCAAATTGCATTAAACCGCTCTTGATTGAATTAGCAGTTTCCAAGCTTCTTTCTTACAGCTGTCATGGAGTAGAACTGCACAATCTGTTCAGCTGGTTCCAGGGCGGGTGTTTTGTCTTGACAAAAGGTTTTTTCTTTAAACCAGCCTGTCTGGAGATTGTATGTCTTCTTAGGAGAATTATGAGAGGAAATCAAGGAGAAACTTTTTTTTTTTTTGGCACCAGCAACTGCAACTTTACTTTTAGCTTATCAGTTAGCCTAAATCCTCTGTGCTACCTGCTTAGCAGTTTAGCAAAACTAAAAATATGGTTCCTGAACCACATGGTACAAGGGGGGAACAAAACCTGAGCTCTGGAAAGCCAGATGCTTTTGAAAGAAGTTGAAACATATAAATAATAGAAATGGTTAATATAATATTTAACCATCTTTGTTGTGACTTGGTATTTAAGCCTTCCAATTTGCTGATGCTCATAAAAATGTTTTGGAGAAACTCTTATGGTAAAGGCCTGGACTGTATTGCTGGAGGGAAATTAGGAGGGTGGGAGAGAAATATCTTATTCTGTACACAAGGAAACTTACATCAGAAGAATTTAAGGGACCCTAACAGACCCGGGGTTGATTAATGGTAGAGCCAGGGTAAGAATACTAATCCTGGATGGGCGTGGTGGCTCATGCTTGAAATCCCAGAACTTTGGGAGGACGAGGCAGGTGGATTGCCTGAGTTCAGGAGTTCGAGACCAGCCTGGCCAGCATGATGAAACACTGTCTCTACTAAAAATACACAAAATTAGCCAGATGCAGTGGCAGCCACCTGTAATCCCAGCTACTTAGGAGGCTGAGACAGGAGAATTGCTTGAACCTGGGAGAAGGAGGTTGTAGTGAGCCGAGATGGTGCCACTGCACTCCAGCCTGGGCAACAAGAGCTAAACTCCATCTAAAAAAAAAAAAAAAATTAATCCTCTCCTATGCATTCAGGTCATCATAAACATGATGCATCATTTAAACTGTAAAACTCCTGTCTTCTAGAAGCTTAAGATCAAGACAGGACCATGGGACTGCACCACTGTGTATACACACACACACGTACACACACACACACACACAAAATAAAACAAACATCACTTGAAGACAACAAAACTCTTCCAGATTAGGAAACCCTAGAGGAAATGTGTGAATCAACAAACCCTAATATGTTCATCTGAACCACCTGTAGGAAAAGAACAATAGGACATTCAAAAGTAAGTGAAAAGTCAACAATTTTTGAAAGGAGTTTACGGGCAATAAAATAATCATTAATTGTGAGAAAAGATAAGCAAAACAATACCTTTAGCATGTGACATGTGGCAGTTTCTGCTTGGTGAGACGTGGATGAGTTTGAACATGAAACATTCTCATATGTCAGTCTCTGTGGCTGACAGGGCCTTGGGAGAAACTAACACTGAATGGAAGATATAGGACTGATCTGTAGAAAAGAACCCTACTCAGAGGTGAGATGCAGAGAAGGTAACTGGGTAATACAAAAATCCTCAAGTAAGGTGGTGAGGTTTTTGCTATCATCAATACAAAGATGTCCAATCTGGTGAACAGAAACAAGAGAGACATCCCAGGTGCAAACTCTCTTTGTGAGTCACGAGGGCAGGTAATTATGTTAGAAAATACCCAGAAAATTGCAGGCTCTTCCATTCATGTGGGTGATATGGGACAGGGTCCAACTCTGGGGAAGCAAGACTGGCAGAAGCCAAATAGTACAGAGATCTCTCTGGTCCTAGAAAGGGTCTAGGGTCCTGGGAGAGGAATTAGATCAACCAATTGTGGACATACTGTTGACCATTTGGATAGTGTTGGAAAATGGAACAGTTCTAAGGAATTGACAGACCAACAATTGAGTAATGACTTACTATACAATGAACAGATTTTATGACCTTTAAATGTGCTGATAAAGTCTAGTTCATGTGATACTTACAAATATTAAATGAGATATTAAAGATAAGATGCCTCATGTAGTCCCTGGCACACACAGAACTTCAGTAAGTGTTGTGTACTATGTAATTAGGGCACATATTGGTTTTCATTGGCCCCAAATTTTTATCAATGTTTGCACATTTATTTAAAATATGTTGTTCTGCAACATATCTCCATGTTGTAATTATTTAGGTAAACACATAGTGAGGGGTTTCAGTTCATTGAGATACAGAAAGGAAATAATTTTATATATTTTAACAACCATGCAAAAATTCTTCTTACTGTCTGAGTATTCTCTCAATTAACTACTGAAAGAGTTAGATATGCTTGTCCTAAGGAAGCAGGTCTGGAGGTTGGAAGGGAGACTGGGAGTTAGGAAACATCCCTTCGACAGTACCTTTGGGAAATTAATGCTTTTCTCTACAAACCTTTACTAAAAAAGTTTGAAGGGTGACCCATGTGCACATATTACTGTGTTTAAAATGTTAAAAGATGGCATGGTAGAGGCTTAGTCACCCTACTCCTGGTATGGCTAAGAGCAGAGGATATTAACAACATTCAACAAAATTTATGGTACTACTAATATATAATGCAATAGAAAACAAATATATTCCAATTTATTTTCTAAATAAGCTAAATTCTGCATTATAAACTCTATATAAATTATATATAATATATGATTTTATACAGTTCAACCAAAACTAAAACTATTGAGATAGAAGTAATTTGATAAAGGTTTATTTGAACCCAAATGCGAGTATCAACCCAGGAAGACACCAACAAAATTGGGAGTTCCAGAGTCTGCTACAAATTGGAAGACTTTTAGAGGAAAGTTTAGAAGGGAAGAGGACTCATGATACTGGAGCTGTCCTTTTCATTGGAGGGTACTATATTGAAGTTACAATCATCAGCTACATCTTGTAACATGTATTAATAGATGAAAATAGATAAGCTAAAATGTTTACCTGCAAATTAATCAGGAAAGCTTCATGATTCATAAACAAATCAGTGTCCTTTTCAATGTCAGCAGGTCATGCATTAATCAGTATGTCAACAATATGGGGAACTCACAATAAGATTCTTTATTCAGAGATGGGATGTTTCCATGAATCACAAGACATCTCCAAAGTGGGTTAATTTGAAAGCCTGTCAAATGTGACCTGTAGGTTATCACACACACACACACACACACACACACCACACAACACACACACACACACAGACACACTTGCTTGCCAATTGGAAGTATTTCCATGTTTTAACATTCCAGTAGCCCATTTTATGAGAACTGCATGATCTGGTCTTCATTTAGTTTTTTGGCCTGTTTTCTTGCTAACTCTCTCCTACCCTCTGCTTTCCAGCTTCATTAAATGGCTTCTGTTTCCCTCAATGTGCCATGCTGTTTCATACCTCCCTGCTTTTCTCACACCACTTCCTTTGCCCAGGATAGATTCAGCCTGTGTTTTCTGCCTGGGAAATGTCTCATCGTTGCTCAAAAGCTACCTCATGCCATTTTCTCAATGAATACTTTCCTGGCTCTCCAACACTGGGATCCTGGTTTATTCTTACTTCTTTCACATTGATAAGCGAGTTTGTAACTCCTGGAATCATATTCATAAAGCTAGGATCCATTCATTCAAGCAGTTGGACACCGGTAGTATCGTTAGGGTCTCCTGGCTTGTGCCGTGGCAGGGGTGACCATATCAAACGCAGAAAAATTTCTTGCTCCTGGTGTACTTTGAGTGTAATAAATCCCCAGTGAAATATTTGGACAGGAACCTGCACTGCTTTCTAACAAAATGCAGCTGAATATCTATCTGATACTAAGTCAATAGCAGCCAACACAACTTTCCTCTCTCTCTCTCTATTGAAAGGATGAACAAACACTGTAGCTAAAGAAAATATCTAAAAGAGCAGGTAAAACATGAGATGTGTGATACCACTCTGGAAACCCAGAGAGCTTCCTTTTTGCAGGAGAAAGCAAAAGGAAATATTATGGAATAGTACTAGTTTTCTGAACAAGATTCAAGCACCTTTGAAACTAGAATCAAGATTTGTAAAGAAAGCAACTTAAAACCAAAAAGTAAGTCCTACAAGATTTGTGAAATGATGATAATGCCTCTGGTAGCTAATAATTTACTAATTATACTACCAACATTTCTCCATGATGATTTTTATAACACTTCTCTCCCAAGACTTCTTTCTATTAAACAACAAAATAAATACATTCAACAGCTCTATAATTACAAACAACACTAAATATTTGTTTGGAATTGCACATTAACAACCCCAGATTTGTATTCATAATAAAATGGAGAGCATGCCAGAGGGGATCCTATATGGAGTTGTGTTTCCCACATGCTAATTACCTGTGGTTGATGATAACTACCAAACAAGTTAGGCTTCCTTAGATCCACTCACAATAGGACTGCCCCCAGTCCCTGCCCCTTGTCTTTCACATGGTGCAGATGGAATGCTCAGGGCAAGGTCTGGAAGCACAGTGATGGAAAGAAGCTGAGGCTGGAGAGGCTATTGTGGAAAAGCACTCAAACTTTTATATATTCTTAAGTCACAAATATAAGAGAAAAAAGAGTGAATACATTTGTTTCATTATATCTTCAAGGCAATATCACTTATTATTGTATAATTTTCAGTACATTCTTCAGAATAATTTTACGTTTTTCAGGATAAGAAGTTTCACTGTTTCCCTGAAAATTTTTGCTTGTTATCTTCAGACCAAATACACCCTGTTCAGTTTTCTTTTTATGCTCCTAATTAAGAGTAAAGAATCCCTGTAAGAGTCTATCTAATTATTTTTATTATCTCTGGCCTGGGTATGAATAGGTGAAGCACCTTGCTATCTTCCCTTTCCAAGAATCTATTCTCGGCATTTGTATTTCTATAATACATGGCCCAAAGGAACAGCAGCTCATTTCCACTCTTGTTGGGGTTAATTTTGTGAAATTCATTTTTCTGAAATGATCCTCTGAAAAAGGAGGAGTTTATGGATATCTAATGTTGAAATGGAAAAATTCAAAATGCGTATTGAAAAGCATTTTAATGACCACTTCTTCTGAGACACATTACCAGCATGGGAAGGAATAGTTACTTTCTGCCTCAGAGATCTCTTTCTCAGATGTTTCCTTTTCAGACATCTCAGATGTCTCCACATCTTAAGTGTCACATATAGGCAGAGTAGGTGTAATATCATATGGGATGATTTCAGGAACCTGAGAAAACCTCATACTTGCTTAGATCTTGCCTCATCAGTTGTTATTATCTCTTTAGTTCTACAATAAGCAAAATACTTTAAATTGTAACTAATCTGACAGAAGTGGACAAGTTAATATGCAAAAGTAGAAAGGATTTCCCGCAAGATGGCCAAATAAGAACAGCTCTGGTCTGCAGCTCCCAGCGAGACTGACACAGAAGACAGGTGATTTCTGCATTTCCAAATGAGGTACCTGATTCATCTCATTGGGACTGGTTGGACAGTTGGTGCACCCCACAGAGGGTGAGCCAAAGGAGGGCGGGGCATTGCCTCACCCAGGAAGGGCAAGGGGTCGGGGGATTTCCCTTTCTTAGCCAAGGGAAGCCTTGAGAGACTTTACCAAGTGGAACAGTACGCTCCTGCCCAAATACTGTGCTTTTCCCATGGTCTTCACAACTGGCAGAACAGGAGATTCTCTCTGGTGCCTGGCTCGGTGGGTCCCGCACCCACAGAGCCCAGCAAGCTAAGATCCATTGGCTTGAAATTCCTGCTGCTAGTGCAGCAGTCTGAGATCAACCTGGGGTGCTGGAACTTGTCAGGGGGAGGGGCGTCCACCATTGCTGAGGCTTGAGTAGGCAGTTTTACGCTCACAGTGTAAACAAAGCTGCTGGGAAGAACGAATTGGGTGGAGCCCACCACAGCTCAGCAAGGCTGACTGCCTCTCTGGATTCCACCTCTATGGGCAGGGCATATCTGAACAAAAGGCAGCAGCCCCAGTCAGGGACTTGTAGGTAAAACCCTCATCTCCCTGGGATAGGGCACCTGGGGTAAGGGCAGCTGTGGGCACAGCTTCTGCAGACTTAAACGTCCTTGCCTGACAGCTCTGAAGAGAGCAATGGTTCACCCAGCATGAAGTTCGAGCTCTGATAACAGACAGACTTCCTCCTCAAGTGGGTCCCTGACCCCCATGTAGCCTGACTGGGAGACACCTCCCAGTAGGGGCCAACAGACACCTCATGCAGGAGAGCTCTGGCTGGCATCTGGCAGGTGCCCCTCTGGGACAAAGGTTCCAGAGGAAGGATCAGGCACAATATTTGCTGTTCTGCAGCCTCTGCTGGTGATACCCAGGCAAACAGGGTCTGGAGTGGACCTCCAGCAAACTCCAACAGACCTGCAGCTGAGGATCCTGATTGTTAGAAGGAAAACTAACAAACAGAAAGGAATAGCATCAACATCAACAAAAAAGACATCCACACCAAAACCTCATCGTTAGGTCACCAACAACAAAGACCAAAGGTAGATAAACCACAAAGGTGGGGAGAAACCAGCACAGAAAGGATGAAAATGCCAAAAACCAGAAAGCCTCTTCTCCTCCAAAGGATCACAACTCCTTGCCAGCAAGGGAACAAAACTGGATGGAGAATGAGTTTGACAAGTTGACAGAAGTAGGCTTCAGAAGGTGGGTTATAACAAACTTCTCTGAGCTGAAGGAGCATGTTCTAACCCCTTGCAAGGAAGCTAAAAACATTAAAAAAAAAAAGGTTAGACGAATGGCTAACTAGAATAGTCAGTGTAAAGAAGAAAGTAAATGACCTGATGGAGCTGAAAAACACAGCATGAGAACTTTGTGAAGCATACACAAGCTTCAATAGCTGAATAGATCAAGCAGAACAAAGGATATCAGTGAATGAAGATCAAATTAATGAAATAAAGAGAGAAGACAAGATTAGAGAAAAAAGAGTGAAAAGAAACAAACAAAGCGTCCAAGAAATATGGGACAATGTGAAAAGACCAAATCTATGTTTGCTTGGTGTACCTGCAGATGACGGGGAGAATGGAACGAAGTTATAAAACACTCTTCAGGATATTATCCAGGAGAACTTCCCCAACCTAGCAAGGCAGGCCAACATTCAAATTCAGGAAATACAGAGAACACCACGAAGATATTCTTCGAGAAGAGCAACCCCAAGACACGTAATTGCCAGATTCACCAAGGTTGAAATGAAGGAAAAAATGTTAAGGGCAGCCAGAGAGAAGGGTCAGGTTACCCACAAAGGGAAGCCCATCAGACTAACAGCGGATCTCTCAGAAGAAACCCTACAAGCCAGAAGAGAGTGGGGGCCAATATTCAACATTCTTAAAGAAAAGAATTTTCAACCCAGAATTTCATATCCAGCCAAACTAAGAGCTTCATAAGTGAAGGAGAAATAAAATCCTTTACAGTCAAGCAAATGCTGAGAGATTTTGTCACCACCAGGCCTGCCTTATAAGAGATCCTGAAGGAAGCACTAAACATTGAAAGGAACAACTGGTACAAGCCACTTTAAAAATTGTAAAGACCATCACCACTATGAAGAAACTGCATCAACTAACAGGCAAAATAACCAGCTAGCATCATAATGACAGGATCAAATTCACACATAACAATATTAACCTTAAATGTAATGGGCTAAATGCCGCCAATTAAAAGACACAGACTGGCAAATTGAGTAAAGAGTCAAGACCCATCTGTGTGCTGTATTCAGGAGACCCACCTCATATGCAAAGACACACATAGGCACAAAATAAAGGGATGGGGCCAGGTGCGATGGCTCACACCTGTAATCCCAGCACTTTTGGAGGCTGAGGTGGGCAGATCACTTGAGGTCAGGAGTTCGAGACCAGCCTGACCAACATGGAGAAACCCCATCTCTACTAAAAATACCAAATTAGCTGGGCATTGTGGCACATGCCTGTAATCCCAGCTACTTAGGAGGCTAAGACAGAAGAATCATTTGAACCCAGGAGGCAGAGGTTGCAGTGAGCCAAGATTGTGCCATCGCACTCCAGCCTGGGCAACATGAGTGAAACTCCATCTCAAAAAATAAATAAATAAATAAAAAACAAAGGGATGGAGGAAGATCTACCAAGCAAATGGAAAGCAAAAAAAAAAAAAAAAATCAGGGCTTGCAGTACTAGTCTCTGATAAAACAGACTTAAAACCAACAAAGATCAAAAGAGACAAAGAAGGCCATTATATAATGGTAAAGGGATCAATTCGACAAGAAGAGCTAACTATCCTAAATATATATGCACCCAATACAGGAGCACCCAGATTCATAAAGCAAGTTCTTAGAGACCTACAAAGAGACTTGTACTCCCACACAATAATAGTGGGAGACTTTAACACCCCACTGTCTTTATTAGACAGATCAATGAGACAGATAATTAACAAGGATATCCAGGACTTGAACTCAGCTCTGGACGAAGTGGACCTAACGGACATCTACAGAACTCTCCACCACAACAACAGAATATACACTCTTCTCAGCATCACATTGCACTTATTCTAAAATTGACCACATAATTGGAAGTAAAACACTCCTCAGGAAATGTAAAAGAACAGAAATCACAACAAACTGTCTCTCAGACCACAGTGCAATCAAATTAGAACTCAGGATTAAGAAACCCACTCAAAACCGCACACCTACATGGAAACTGAACAACCTGCTCCTGAATGACTACTGGGTAAATAACAAAATGAAGGCAGAAATAAAGATGTTCTTTGAAACCAACGAGAACAAAGACACAATGTACCTGAATCTCTGGGCCACATTTAAAGCAGTGTGTAGAGGGAAATTTATAGCACTAAATGCTCACAAGAGAAAGCAGGAAAGATCTAAAATCGATACCCTAACATCACAATTAAAAGAACTAAAGAAGCAAGAGCAAACAAATTCGAAAGCTAGCAGAAGACAAGAAATAACTAAGATCGGAACAGAACTGAAGGAGATAGAGACACAAAAACCCCTTCAAAAAAATCAATGAATCCAGAGCTGGCTTTTTTGAAAAGATCAACAAAATAGACCACTAGCAAGACTAATAAAGAAGAAAAGAGAGAAGAATCAAATAGATGCAATAAAAAATGATAAAGAGGGTATCATCCACAGATCCCACAGAAATACAAACTACCATCAAAGAACACTATAAACAACTCTATGCAAATAAATTAGAAAATCTAGAAGAAATGGATAAATTCCTAGACATATACACCCTCCCAAGACTAAACCAGGAAGAAGTCGAATCTCTGAATAGACCAGTAACAGGTTCTGAAATTGAGGCAATAATTAATAGCCTACCAACCAAAAAAAGTCCAGGACCAGATGGATTCACAGCTGAATTCTACCAGAGGTAAAAGAGGAGCTGATACCATTCCCTCTGAAACTATTGCAATCAATAGAAAAATAAGGAATCCTCCCTGACTCATTTTATGAGGCCAGCATCATCCTGATACCAAAACCTAGCAGAGACACAACAAAAAAAGAGAATTTTAAGCCAATAACCCTGATGATATAGATAAGAAAATCCTGAATGAAAAACTGGCAAAGTCCGGGTGTGGTGGCTTACGCCTGTAATCCCAGCACTTTGGGAGGCTGAGGCAGGCAGATCACAAGGTCGGAGATGGAGACCATCCTGGCTAACACAGTGAAACCCCATCTCTACTAAAAGTACAAAAAATTAGGGCGTGGTGGCGGGAGCCTGTAGTCCCAGCTACTTGGGAGGCAGAGGCAGGGGAATGGCGTTAACCCAGGAGGCGGAGCTTGCAGTGAGCCAAGATCGCACCACTGCACTCCAGCCTGGGCAACAGTGCAAGATTCTGTCTCAAAAAAAAAAAAAAAAAAAAAAACCTGGCAAACCGAATCCAGCAGCACATCAAAAAGCTTATCCACCACCATCAAGTCGGCTTCATCCATGGGATGCAAGGCTGGTTCAACATACGCAAATCAGTAAACGTAATCCATTGCATAAATAGAACCAATAAGAAAAACCACATGATTATCTCAATAGATGCAGAAAAGCCCTTCAACGAAATTCAACAGCCCTTTTTGCTAAAAACTCTCAATAAACTAGGTATTGATGGAATGTATCTCAAAATAATAAGAGCTATTTATGACAAACCCACAGCCAATATCATACTGAATGGGCAAATACTGGAAGCATTCCCTTTGAAAACCAGCACAAGGATGTCCTCTCTCACCACTCCTATTCAACATGGTGTTGGAAGTTCTGGCCAGGGCAATCAGGCAAGAGAAAGAAATAAAAGGTATTCAATTAGGAAAAGAGGAAGTCAATTTGTTTCTGTTTGCAAATGACATGGTTGTATATTTAGAAAACCCCATTGTCTCAGCCCAAAATCTCCTTAAGCTGATAAGCAACTTCAACAAAGTCTCAGGATACAAAATCAATGTGCAAAAATCACAAGCATTCCTATACATCAATAACAGACAGAGAGCTAAATCATGAGTGAACTCCCCTTCACAATTGCCACTAAGAGAATAAAATACCTAGGAATACAAGTTACAAGGGATGTGAAGGACCTCTTCAAGGAGAACTACAAACCACTGCTCAAAAAATAAAAGAGGACACAAACAAATGGAAGAACATTCCATTCTCATGGATAGGAAGAATCAATATTGTGAAAATGGCTATAATAACCAAAGTAATTTATAGATTCAATGCTATCCCCATTAAGCTACCACTGACTTTCTTCGCAGAATTAGAAAAAAATACTTTAAATTTCATATGGAACCAAAAAAGAGCCTGCATAGCCAAGACAATCCTAAGCAAAAAGGACAAAGCTGGAAGCATCATGCTACCTGACCTCAAACTATACTATAAGGCTACAGTAACAAAAACAGCACGGTACTGGTACCAAAAATGATATATAGACCAAAGGAACACAACAGAGGCCTCAGAAATAATGCCACACATCTACAACCATCTGATCTTTGACAAACCTGACAAAAACAAGCAATGGGGAAATGATTGCCTATTTAATAAATGGTGTTGGGAAAACTGGCTAGCCATATGCATAAAGCCGAAACTGGATCCCTTTCTTACACCTTATACAAAAATTAACTCAAGATGGATTAAAGACTGAAACGTAAGACCTAATACCATAAAAACCCTAGAAGAAAACCTAGGCAATACCATTCAGAACATAGGCATGGGCAAAGACTTCATGACTAAAACACCAAAAGCAATAAAGCCAAAATAGATAAATGGGATCTAAATAAACTAAAGAGCTTCTGCACAGCAAAAGAAACTATCATCAGAGTGAACAGGCAACCTACAGAATGGGAAAAAATATTTGCAATCTATTCATCTGACAAAGGGCTAATATCCAGAATCTACAAAGACATTTACAAGAAAAATTTATGAGAAAAAACGAACAACCCCATCGACAAGTGGGCAAAGGATATGAACAGACACTTTTCAAAAGAAGCCATTTATGCAACCAACAGACCTATGAAAAAAAGCTCATCATCACTGGTCATTAGAGAAATGCAAATCAAAACCACAATGAGATACCATCTCACACCAGTTAGAACTGCGATCATTAAAAGGTCAGGAAGATGCTGGAGAGGATGTGCAGAAATAGGAATGCTTTTACACTGTTGGTGGGAGTGTAAATTAGTTCAACCATTGTGGAAGACAGTGTGGCGATTCCTCAAGGATCTAGAACTAGAAGTACCATTTGACCCAGCAATCTCATTACTGGGTATCTACCCAAAGGATTATAAATCATGCTACTATAAAGACACATGCACACATATGTTTATTGTGGCAATATTCACAATAGCAAAGACTTGGAACCAACCCAAATGTCCATCAATAATAGACTGGATAAAGAAAATGTGGCACATATACACCATGGAATACTATGCAGCCATAAAAAAAGATGAGTTCACGTCGTTTGCAGGGACATGGATGAAGCTGGAATCCATCATTCTCAGCAAACTATCACAAGGACAGAAAACCAAACGCCACATGTTCACACTCATAAGTGGCAGCTGAACAATGAGAACACATGGACACAGGGAGGGGCCTGTCAGGGGGTGGGGGGTGAGGGGAGGGATAGCATTAGGAAAAATACCTAATATAAATGATGAGTTGATGGTTGCAACAAACCAACATGTCACATATATACCTATGAAACAAACCTGCACATTGTGCACGTGTCCCAGAACTTAAAGTATAATAAAAAAAAAATTCACTCCAAAAAGAGAAGATATAGGATCGTGAAAATAGAGGCCCTAGCAGAAGAAGCAGGTAGAAGGAATTAATTCATATGTATTCTGTAAGAAAATCCCAGAACGTCAGCCACATAGAGAATCAGCCCAAATTTGGTGAGAATTTGATGATGATTGAGACAGGGAAAGAAGAACTTGTGTGAAGAGTCACATATGAGAATTAAATCCTCATTTTCTAGATAACAAATGTCAATAACTCATATGTAAACTTGAACAATTATGGAAAAACTGCATAAAGTGTGCTATTATAAAATCTGGGGTATGTCATTTACCTATATAACAAACCTGCACATGTACCCCTGAACCTAAAATAAAAGTTGAAAATATAAAATAAGTAAAATAAAATAAACATGGGGCTAAATACGGAAATAGCTACAAGAGTAGAACATGGTGGTCTCTGTGAGGAAAAATTGTGAAAGACTTTGGAATGGACTGAAAAAAAAATCAT
Organism: Homo sapiens; assembly: GCF_000001405.40. Lineage (NCBI taxonomy): Eukaryota > Metazoa > Chordata > Mammalia > Primates > Hominidae > Homo > Homo sapiens. Next base: position 38,515,245 of record NC_000012.12, read on the forward strand.
GAGGTGACAACAATAAATGAACCTGCATTGTTCAGAGCATATCCTTCCAGATAATAAAATTCCACAGGACTCTTGCCTTTCACTGACTTTCAGCTATTTTGCACCTCTGTAGAGAAAGAAGAAATTTCCAGGAAACTAACAATAATGCAAATAATTTCTAATGAGCTTACATATTTGTCTAGTTTTGTGATTCTCCTTTAAAAATGATTGCCTTAGTAATTAATGAATTAAATAAAATATTTGTTGTATATTCATTTTATATCTGGATGAAGGATATGATTTTACCACTTTTGAAAATTATACTTTGTCATCTCTGGGAGTGGCCATTAGATAAGGTTTTTTATTTTTATTACATGCCTGTGCTACTGTTTGATTTTCCTAACTAAGCAGATATTGTCTTGATAAAAATTGCAATTAAATTTAAAAGATATTTTTAAATTAAACATTAAGAAATGGTGAGAACTGTGTAAAATGCTTAGCATTCTTAGATGATGATACTTTACATAATAGGCAGAAGGAATTAAATAAACAGAGGATGAGATCGGTAAAAGAATTAAAAAACAACCTCTGAATAAGACTTTTCTTTCTTCAGCTTCTAGTAAGAAAACTACCTCATTCTTTGTTCCATATTTGTTTCAATGCTTTCTTTCCACTTTAGCTGAGGTTTTTCTCACTACTCCTACTTACATCACTCATGACCCAGTATCTTCCTTTGGGAACTTCAGACACTGCTTTTTGTTTGTTTGATTTTGTTTTCATTTTTACTATTCAGAACTCTCCTCACAATTTATGTCCTTGAACACTGCCAAGCAATTGTCCAGTAAAGGAAACTATGGGTGTGAGCCAAATGAAATGACAATCTTACACCACATTGCAGTGTAAAAATACTATCAGGACTGGGTACAAAGTGTATTGTCATTTTGTCAAACACAGAATAAAAGGTATTTAGGGCAAGAACTGTGTCTCCTCTATTAAGTGTGTATAGCACAGAATATGCCAACAGTACTTGATTAATAATTAATTCCATTCACTGCAAAAGTATCCAGCATGTTTTCAGCTAAAGAAAAGAAACAAAATAGCAAGGACTTCAGTCTCAAATAAAGAATATATTTTACAAATATCTGACTTTGGACTGCAGTATTTAGCAAATGTTACTAAAAAAGAAGTCAAGCAGTTTTATCTACGTAAAGCAGTTTGTGCTTTAAAGAGCATTTTTTATAAAAAAAGGAGTTTGCTTATCTGACAAGTTTGCCAAAGTCCTAGTTAAAAATGTTCATTTCTCATTCACTCCCAGTGACATCAAGAGATCCAAATCTTTTTCTTTTCCTTTCAGGGCTCAGTGGCACTGAGGTCAATACTTTCCATTCCAGATAAACCAGAGAAAGAGGATTAAGTGAGACCATTCTCCACACTGAAGCTTTGTTTATAAACAAAAAATAAAGAGCCCCAGTGAGAGTATTTTATATGCAAATGGCTGACCTCAAAGTTTTTCCCTATCGCCTGATTTAGAGTATATCTAACTTCTCTGCCTACTGCACATCAGCAGTACAAAGTAAAGCATCAGTAAAGGAAGACATTGGAGAAATGGCTATTACTGCATAAAACACTGAAATGAGAAAAAGGGTGGTACATGTTTAAAGTCCACTACAACCTGATAAGAAAAGGACAACATTCCTACAGTTCAAATTTTGCTTCTTTTCTTCGTGTACAAAAGACTGACTAGCAACAATAAAAATGCTTTTAAAATTTTCCTCCAAAAAGTGACTTTTGTATTGTCTGTCTAATTATTCTTTAAGTACTCATGTATCCATGGTGTCTGATGATCTATTTTCTATTATTAATTGGGAATCTTGATATATTTAGTGTTAATAATACCTAGCTCAGAGGGTTGTTGTGATAATTGAGTTTTAATACATGAAAGAGATTTACACTTGTGTTCTATACATTTTTGCCCTTACAATAATACTTGTGAATATTGAGCTAAATTCACTACATAGATGATATAATAGATTATAAATGTCATCTTTTACAATTGTTGAGTATATGGGAAGTTGTGCATACATTATTATTTAAGTAGGGTTAGGTTTTACTTGACTATGAAAGTTAATTATGAATCTTTTGTTAAAATAAATAATTCCTGCTAAGATTGAAAAAATATCTCAGTAAGCAGGACAAAGATTAATATAAGGTAGCATACAAGTTGTTATGAAATAACATTAAAACACTAATAGATAATGTTCATGAGATAAATCAGGTTCACAAGAGGAAACAATAATTTTAAAAGTTTATGTCTTACAATTATATAAATAAATACAACTAAAACAATGAAATAAAATCTGAAACTGCTAAAGCATATTTTAACAATATAAGCAAGGTTGGCAAAGGTACAGACAAATTGGTACACATGCATTGCTGTAAGGGAATATAAATGGCCATGACCTTTTAGAAAATAATTTGATAATTTCACGAACACTTTTATAATTGCTAAGTTTTAGAAAATATATGCTAGAGAAAATCATCTAAAAGAATTTTTTTAAAAAAACTCCATGAATAAGAGAGAGAGAGGGAGAGAGAGATGTTATTTTTAATGTTACAGAAAAATGATAGTCACCAGAAATATCAAAGGAAAATTATTAGTTCAATCAATATCTACTTGATCCAAAGTTATGTGATATTAAAACAATGACCAAAAAGATCATGACCTCTTAGAATAGTGTTTATTTTATATTATTATTACAGAAACAGATGTGTTACAAAATTGTATCATACTATGATAGGAACTAAAAAAAGATATATCTGTGAGTAGGCAAAAACTAAAATCAGTTCTCCAAGTGAAGTTATTTCATGAAAAGTTGTATTTTTCAAATATCCTGTTATAGTGAATATTTGATATCAAGACTGTTATATTGATACATAATACTGTATTGATCATATACTGTATCTATCAATACACTATTGATATATTTAATATCAATACAGTATTGTTATATCGATATTACTTTTAATTTTTATAACAAAATAGTAATAAACTTGTAAAGTAGGTAAACCCTTCACAAGTAAGGTATTTCATACATTTGGATTTTTGGTTAGGTGTTCTCAAAGGGAGAACACAGAATGAGGCTCGACTCCAATAAGCAATTTTTTTATTTTTGCTTATAGTTATATGCCATTATTTTTAAGTTCTGGGGGACAAGTGTGGGATGTGCAGGTTTGTTACATAGGTAAACGTGTGCCATGATGGTTTACTGCACCTATCAACCCATCACTTAGGTATTAAGCCCAGCATGCATTAGCTCTTTTCCCTAATGCTCTCTCCCCTCCCTGCCCTCCTCCAACAGACCCCAGTGAGGGATGTTCCCCTCCCTGTGTCCATGTGTTCTCATTGTTCAGCTCCCACTTATGAGTGAGAACATGCAGTGTTTGGTTTCTGTTCCTGCATTAGTTTGCTGAGGATAATGGCTTCCAGCTTCAACCATGTCCTGGCAAAGGACATGATCTCATTCCTTTTTATGGCTGCATAGTATTCCGTGGTGTATATGTACCACATTTTCTTTATCCAGTCTCTCATCGATGGGCATTTGGGTTGATTCCATATCTTTGCTATTGTGATTAGTGCTGCCATGAACATAAGCATGCATGTATCTTTATAATATAATGATTTATATTCCTTTGGGTATATACCCAGTAATGGGATTATTGGGTCAAATGATATTTCTGGTTCTAAATCTTTGAGGAATTGCCACACTGTCTTCCACAATGGCTGAACTAATTTACATTCCCATAAACAGTGTAAAAATGTTTCTATCGCTCTGCAACCTTGCCAGCATCTGTTGTTTCTTGACTTTTTAATAATTGCCATTCTGAATGGCAATTAAATGAATATGAATTCACGAATTATAAGGTATGTGTTTATTGAAGTTATTATTCGTATTGATACTGAAATTGTAACATAGTTTGTCAGTAGGCATCTGTTGAAGATGGCTCCTAAGTCATTTTGCCATGAGCCTAGTGGGTTTTAACTTCCTTAATTTCTGGTATGACAGTTTCCAGGCTCGTTTTGTATATTTCTTGCTCTGAACCTAGAATCAGCCATTTAATGAGCCCTGCTCCCTTTTAGTGGTAAATGTGCTATGGAGATAATAATCTAGGCACTACTAGTGTTCTTTGATGGGTATAGTTTCTAGTACTTTTCAGTGGACACAACTAAGTTGGGACATGACTTATGTCCCAAGACATAAGAGACTGAAGAGATGTTATTCTCATCTCTCTTTCTCTCTCTCTCTCATTCTCTATCTCTCTCCTCCTCCAAAAACTAATTTGTGTGAAATTCTACTGGATCTTTATGGACTATTCATGTTTAAGTGAAATGGGCTTTTCTTCTCCTCAAAGGAAAACATGGGCGGGACATCTTTTAAGCCTCGCATTCTAGAGATTTCTCTTTAGTTATTTTAAAGTGTTCAAAAATGTCCTGGAAGTAACTAAGATATTCTAGCTCTGTCCTCTCCCCTACTTTTAACTGTTTCTTCTCTTTCCTCACCCCCATCTGCCTTAAAGGCAGGCGCACAGGAATTTCTCCTCAATACAGGGCCTTGGATTAGAAAGGAGAATTCTCATGGTCCAGACAACTCCATCTTCCTCCAAGCTTGCACTCATCCATGAAATATAACCTGAAAAAGCCACTTCCCAGTTTTGGATGCTGACCACAAATTGACCCACTGAGCTTTCCTTTGAAAACCTTTCAAATGGGGAGTTTTCTAGTTCTCAGGCTTTGCATAATGCTTTTGCTTGCCTTCCATTTTTTTTTTTTTTTTTTTTTTTTTCTGAATAGTTGCTGATACACTGCAGACCTTGTTGCTGTCAGTGGTTTTTCTGCATTCACTCATGATTTGGAATTTGTGTGGAAATCTTATCCTCTGGTTTAGTTGCAGATGCTGTCTATGGGTTGTGGTTTTGCTATTCTAGTTGCTATATCTCTTTGTGTGTGTGTGTGTGTGTGTGTGTGTGTGTGTGTACAGGGAGGGTGTCAAGGAAATACACATGCACACACACACACACACATATTGCTGTAGCTGCCATCTACCCTGACTAATCTTTATAAAATATATGAAACCAATTTTTGTTGGTTTTTAAAATATAAACTTTGTTAATATTTTAATATAATATAAATATTATATTTATTTAAATATAAAATATAGTTTTGTTGGTTTTTAAAATATAAAAAACCAAAAAGGCTTTTTATTTTTTCCTCAAACTTCTCCAATGGCTTCCCATCTGATTCTGAGTAAAAGCCACATTTTACTCTGAATTACAGAGTAAACACATTTTAATCAACATACACAATCTGCTACCCTCTTTTCTTACTCCACATTATCTCTCCAACTTCATCTTATGGTACCCACCAACTGATGTCATCAATACCAGTCTCTTGATCAACCTCAGTTTTTAGCCAGACTTAAGCCTCAGTGTTTTTGCGCCTGCTATTCCCATTGC